>NC_000006.12:10969090-11120606 GCF_000001405.40 Homo sapiens | reverse complement strand
TGAATGTTTGTGTGCTCCCAAAATTCATATATTGAAATTTAATCCCCAATGTGACAGTATTTGCAGGTGGAGCCTCTGGGAGGTGATTAGGTCATAGGGTGGAGTCCTCATGAATGGGATTAATGCATTTATTAAAATAACACCCCAGAGAGCTCCCTCACTCCTTCCCCTTCTGCCATGTTTGGACACAGTGAGAAGACAGACATCTATGAACCAGGAAGCAGGCCCTCACCAGACATTAAATCTGCCAGTACCTTGATCTTGGATTTCCCAGCCCTCTAGAACCATGAGAAATAAACTTCCGTTGTTTATAAGCCACCTGGTCTATGGTATTTCTGTTACAGCAGCCCAAACCGATTAAGACACACTACCCAAGGTATTTTCAGTCCAAAAGCCCAGGTGCAGTATAACTACAAATTCTGATCTTTGTAAATTGTGGAATCATTCCAGTGGAGTTATATAATCTCACCTTCATGATAGTATCTAAGTAGCTAGTTGACTGGCTCACTACCAATTTCACATTTATAAAAAGCTCTTTTCCATTTTCAATCTTATTACCTTATTTCCATTTTATTCTGAAGGCAGCAAAGGCTCATCTATGAGACAGTATGTCCAAATCCTAAATGTAGACTAAACCAAGTAAGCCAAGCTCTTCTAATTCTTAAAATTCTCCCTCTATTGTACACACCCCTTTCTCAATGACACACTAGGCAATGCTAGAAGTTATTAAGCCCCTGGAGTTACCACTATCAAATCAATACAAATTTGAATCATAGTACCTCCAAATCCAAAGCTTTTCTATCCAATAATCATAAGACATTTCAAGTTACCTTTTAAAATCTCTTCTCTCCTCTTTCTGTTCTCTTCTTCTTCTTCTGGTGATCACAACACTGCCATGGATCCAAATATCATCGTTATTATAGATGATGAGGACCAAATTTTCTGTTTTTTTGGAGATGGAGTCTCGCTCTGTCGTCCAGGCTGGAGTGCAGTGGCACGATCTGGGCTCACTGCAAGCTCCGCCTCCCGGGTTCACACCATTCTCCTGCCTCTGCCTCCCGAGTAGCTGGGACAACAGGGGCCCGCCACCACGCCTGGCTAATTTTTTGTGTTTTTAGTAGAGACGGAGGTTCACCGTGTTAGCCAGGATGGTCTCGATCTCCTGACCTCGTGATTCGCCTGTCTCGGCTTCCCAAAGTGCTGGGATTACAGGCGTGAGCCACCGAGCCCGGCCCGAGGACCAAATTTTCATCCATACTTTCCACCTTTCCTGAACCTCAAGAGGGAATTTCTACCTGGCTAGTTTGAAGACATCTCAAAAACAGTGAGTGAGTGAGAGAGAGAAAGAGAGAGAGGAGAGAGTGCACGCGCATGTGTCTGCTGTCTGTCTCCATCCAACAGCTCTTTGGGAGAACTACATTCTCTCCCCATCTCTATGGCAGAAAAGAGTTCTTCTTCAGCATTTTGTTCCCACTTTATCTTATCCCAGTGCTATAGATTCTATTTTAATAAACCCTCTCACATCTGTTTCCTTCTCTACACTCCTAGTGTCATTCTCTATCCTAGATCACATCCTTGTATCTATCAACTGGATTGTCCCCATAATTTCTTATATCTCAGAGGCATGTTAGACTGCAATGTTCTTCCATGAATCCTAACTCAGTAACTTATTTCCGACTTCGGCAAGTTAACCTCTATGTGCTTCAGTTTCCTGTTCTATAAAATGTGAATAACAGTACCCATTCTCAAAGGGTATGTGGTAATTAAAAGTTAATACATGTAACAAGCTAAAGTGAATGCCTAAAACATAATAAGTACTCATCAAATATTAGCTCTGTTACCATCTCATAGGCTCCAACCTCCTCCCCTCTAAGGCAAAGAATACAGATATGAGACTACTACCACTGTAACTAAGAATTTTAAGTATTATTAATATATAACTTTTAGATCGTTCTACAATACTATTACCTCAATATGACCTATTTTGGGTAATTGCTTTAGCACCTCATGCTCACTTTCATCCTGCATAGTACTGACCACCTTCCCTATGAGAAACAAGTTTCTTAAGGAAACGAAACGTATGGTTTAATCAGTTTTCCAGTGTGTTCACTATGCCTTAAAGTAGCACCTGGCACAAAGTAGATACTCAAAACAAATCAACTATTATTCTCCCTGTCCCAACCCCACTCCCAAAACTATCAAGATTTAATTAATTTGACCAATTGATTCATTACAGAGCTCAATGTCTGCTCTGAAGAGTCCTACTATATAACATAGTAGCTACTGTATAGCAAAAGCTGCTGGTGCCCTTTCACAAAAGTACCAAACAACCCTCAACCAAACTGACCTGAGATGTACAGAACATTTCAATCAATAGCAGAAAAAAACATTCCTTTTGATTATATATGGGACGTTCACAAAGGCAAACCATATACTGGCCATAGGTGGTGGTTCATGCCTTTAAACCCAGCACTTTAGAAGGCTGAGGTGGGCAGATGACCTGAGGTCAGGAGTTCGAGACCAGCCTAGCCAACATGGCGAAACCCCATCTCTACTAAAAATACAAAAATTGGCCAGGAATGGTGGCATGCACCTGTAATCCCAGCACTTTGGGAGGCCGAGGCGGGCGGGTCACCTGAGGTCAGGAGTTCGAGACCAGCCTGGCCAACATGGTGAAACTCCATCTCTATTGAAAACACAAAAATTTGTTGGGCATGCAATCCCAGCTACTTGCAAGGCTGAGGCACAAGAATCGCTTGAATCCGGGAGGCGGAGGTCGCAGTGAGCGGAGATCTTGCCACTGCACTCCAGCCTGGGTGACAGAGAGAGACCCTCTCTTAAAAAGAAAAAAAAAAAAAAAGATAGACCATATTCTGTATCATAAGTCCCATTAAATGTAAGAGTAAACCCTCCTAAATTTTATCATACAAAATACATTGTGTGACCATAAAAAAGTCAAATTAGAAACTGATAACGAAATATCTGGAAAAGAACAAATATTCAAAATTTAACAACATACTTCTAAATAATCCATGGTTCAAGGGAGAAATCACAAGTGAAATTAGAAAATATCTTGAATTGAATAAAAATTTAAACGTCAAAATCAATACTTACAAACAACTATTAAACGTCGGCCAGGCATGGTGGCTCACGACTGTAATCTCAACACCTTGGGAGGCCAAGGCAGGCGGATCACGAGGTCAAGAGATTGAGACCATCCTGGCCACCTGGTGAAACCCCGTCTCTATTAAAAAAAAAAAAAAAAAATACAAAAAATTAGCCGGGCGTAGTGGCGGGCGCCTGTAGTCCCAGCTACTTGGGAGGCTGAGGCAGGAGAATGGCGTGAACCCGGGAGGCAGAGCTTGCAGTGAGCCGAGATCCCGCCACTGCACTCCAGCCTGGGCGACAGAGCGAGACTCCGTCTCAAAAAAAAAAAAAAAATACAAAAATTAGCCGGGCGTGGTGGCAGGCACCTGCGGTACCAGCTAGTCAGGAGGCTGAGGCAGGAGAATCAGTTGAACCCGGGAGGTGGAGGTTGCAGTGAGCCGAGATCGCGCCACTGCACTCCAGCCTGGCAACAGAGCAAGACTACGTCTCAAAAAAAAAAAAAAAAAAAAAAAAAAAGAAACAATTATCATTAAATGTCTATTTTCTTAAAAATAAGAAAAGTCTAAAATCAATAACCCAAGATTTCCCCATAAGAAACTTGAAAAAGAAGTACAAATTAAACTCAAAATAAGCAGAAGGAAAGATATATAGATATACGCATAAACCAATGAAACAGAATATGGACAAGCAATAGGGAGAAAACAATCAATTAAACCAAAGGTGGTTCTTGGAAAAGATCAATAAAATTTATAAACCTCTAGTCAGGCCAATTACAAACAAACAAGAAAGGACACAAATAATCAATATCAGATCCTACAGGTGTTAAAAGGCTAATTAAGAAATATTATAAACTTTATCCCTGTAAATTATACAATTCAGAGTAAACAGACACAGTGCCTGAAAAACACAAACTCTGAAAGCTCATTCAAGAAGAAACAGGTAAGTGGAATAGTCCAATATCTAATAAAGAAACAGAATTTGTAGTTGAAAATCTTTCCAAAAAGAAAAGTCCCAGCCCAGATGAATTCTACCAAACATTTACAAAGAAATTATGTCAAATGTGACAGACACACTCTAGTAATCCCAATGAGTCAATCCTTTGTGTAATCTTTATATGACTCCTCCTCTTGAATGTGGGTAGAAACTGATCTGCTTCTAACCAACAGAACATGGCAAAGCTGGCCAGGAGCAATGGCTCATGCCTATAATCCCAGCACTTTGGGAAGCTGAGGTGGGCGGATCACCTGAGGCCCAGAGTTTGAGAACAGCCTGGCCAACATGGGGAAACCCCATCTCTAGCAAAAAATACAAAAATTAGCTGTGTGTGGTACTGCATGCCTGTAGTCCCAGCTACTTGGGAGGCTGAGGCACGAGAATCGCTTGAACCTGGGAGGCGGAGGTTGCAGTGGGCAGAGATCACACCACTGTACTCCAGTCTGAGTGACAGAGTGAGACTCTGTCAAAAAAAAAAAAAAAAAAAAAAAAAAAAAGAGGAAGGAAGGAAGGCCGGCCGGCAGGGCATGGTGGCTCACGCCCGTAATCCCAGCACTTTGGGAGGCCGAAGCAGTTGGATCACCTGAGGTCGGGAGTTCGAGACCAGCCTGACCAACATGGAGAAACCCTGTCTCTACTAAAAATACAAAAAAATTAGCCAGGCATGGTGGCCCATGCTTGTAATCCCAGCTACTTGGGAGGCTGAGGCAGGAGAATTGCTTGAACCCAGGAGGCAGAGGTTGCAGTGAGCCGAGACTGAGCAATTGCACCCCAGCCCGGGCAACAAAAGTGAAACTCTGTCTCAAAAAAAAAAAAAAGAAAAGAAAAAAGAAAGAAAGAAAGAACATGGCAAAGGTAATGGGATAGTTAATCCCTTTATTAGGTTATATTATTTGGTAAAGATGAAGGGATTTTGAAACTATAATTAAGGTCTCAATCAGTTGATTTTTAGTTATTCAAAAGTGAAATTACCTTGGGTGGGCCTGACTCAATTAGGTAAAAACCTTAAAAGAGGGATTGGGACCCTCCCTGGTGTCAGAGATTCAACTGGCATGAAGAGGTGAGCCACCTTGAGTCCTCAGTCACAAGGAACTGAATCCTGCCAACAACCACATAAGCTTGAAGGAGGAACCCAAGCTCCAGAAAGGAACGCAGCCAGGCCAACACCCTGACTGCAGCTTTAGGAGCAGAGGACCCAGCTAAGCCAGGTGGAGACTCCTGACCCACAGAAACTGATATCTAATAACTGTGCGTTGTCTTAAGCTGCTAAATTTATGGGAATTTGTTATGCAGCAATAGAAAACCAATATAGCAATTGTATGTAAATGCTTCCAAAAATCCAAAGAGACAGGAACAGTACCCAACTCATGTAATAAGGTCTGCATTAACACGATGACAAAACCAGACAAGGGTGTTTAAGAAAACCACAAGTATTTCTCATGAATATAAAGAGAAAAATCTTAAATGTTTACTAAATTAATTGCTACAGTATAGAAAATGGATAACATGTCATGACCAAAACAGGTTTATCTGAGGAATGGGTTACTTTCACATTCGAAATGCAACAAAATCCACCATATTAACAGACTTAAAAGAGAAAAAATACAGCCGGGCGTGGTGGCTCATGCCTATAATGCCAACACTTTGGGAGGCCAAGGTAGGTGGATCACTTGAGGTCAAGAGTTCGAGACCAGCCTGATCAACATGGTGAAACCCCGTCTCTACTAAAAAATACAAAAATTAGCTGGGTGTGGTGGTACACGCCTGTAATCCCAGCTACTTAGGAGGCTGAGGCACGAGAATCACTTAAGCCTGGGAGGAGGAGGGTGCAGTGAGCCGAGATCATACCACCACATTCCAGCCTGGGCGACAGAGTGAGACTCCATCTCAAAAAAAAAAAAAAAAAAAAAAAAGAGAAAAAGTGCATGACCATCTCAATACAGAAAAATCATTAAAAAAAAAAATCCAATATCCACTCCTGATTTAAAAAAAAAAGAAAAATCACCACAAAGTAGAAACAGAGGGGAAGTTTTCTTCCTAAACTTGATAAAGAATATCTATTAAAATCCCACAGCTAATAATTTATTTAATGGTAAAAGGCTAAATATTTCACTCCAAAAGATCAGGGAGGAAGGTCTGCTCTCACTCCTTTCTTGCAACATTATAAGGCCCTAGCCAGTGCAATGAGGCAAAAGCTAAAAGACAAATGTACACATTGGGAAGAAAAGGTAAAACTACCTTCAACTGCCTGTAATCCCAACACTTTGGGAGGGCGAGGCAGGTAGATCACTTGAGATCAGGAGGTTGAGACAAGCCTGGCCAACATGGTGAAATCCCATCTCTACTAAAAATACAAAAATCAGCCAGGCGTGGTGGCGCGCACCTGTAATCCCAGCTACTCAGGAGGCTGAGGCAGGAGAATCGCTTGAATCCTGGGGGCAGATGTTGCAGTGAGCCAAGACCGCGCCATTGCACTCCAGCCTGGGCGACAGAGTGAGATTCCGTCTCAAAAAAATTAAAAAAAAAAAACAAAAAGAATAACTTTATATGTCATACCTTAAAAACTTGATAAGAAGGACTTATCAAACAATAACAACACAAAACAAATGACATTTAAAAATAAAAAGGCAGCCGGGTGCGGTGGCTCATGCCTGTAATCCCAGCACTTTGGGAGGCCGAGATGGGTGGACCACCTGAGATCAGGAGTTCGAAACCAGCCTGGCCAACATGGTGAAACCCTGCCTCTACTAAAAATACAAAAATTAGCTAGGTATGGTGGCACATGCCTGTAATTCCCAGCTACTGGGGAGACTGAAACAGGGCAACCTTTTGAACCCAGGAGGCGGGGGCTGCAGTGAGCCAAGATTGTGCCACTGTACTCCAGCCTGGGCAACAAAGCAAGACTCCATCTCAAAAAAATAAAAATAAAAAGGCAAGCTACAGAATAGAAGAAAATACTTGCAAAACATATCTGATAAAAACAAACAAAAAAAACTTGTATCCAGAATAAAGAATTGTTTACAACTTGATAAAAGTAACACAATTTTTTAAATGAGTAGAAAAAACTTGTAAAGATGATTTACACAGAAGGTAGAAAGAATGGCAAATAACACATAAAAGATGCTGAAAATAATTAGTCATTAATGAAACAAAAATCAAAAGCATAATACCCATCCTCTAGAATGGCTAAATTAAAAACAGACAATACCATCAAATGTTGGTGATGGATGCGGAGTAACAAATTCTCACTCATGACTGCTGGCAATGCAAATGTTTGGCAGTTTCTCAAGAGAAATGAAGTTACTCAAGAGAAATGAAAACATATGTCTACACCAAGATTTGCAACTGAATGTTAATAATACTACTAACTACTAATACTACTACTACAGGCTCACGCCTGTAATCCCAACACTTTGGGAGGCCCAGGCGGGTGGATTACTTGAGGTCAGGAGTTCGAAACCAGCCTGGCCAACATGGTGAAACCCCGTCTCTACTAAAAATACAAAAAAATATATAATAAAATAAAATAAATTAGCCAGGCATGGTGGCAGGTGCCTATAATCCCAGCTACTTGGGAGGCTGAGGCAGGAGAATTGCTTGAACCCAGGAGGCAAAGGTTGCAGTGAGCCAAGATCATACCACTGCACTCCAGCTTGGGCGACAGAGCAAGACCCCATCTCAAAAAAATAAATAAATAAAACAATAATAATACTAACAGCCAAAAGCTGGAAACCACTCTCATGTCCATCAATGAGTAAATGGATAAACAAATTGTGGTATATCTATACAATGGAATACTCTTTCAGCAATACAAAAGAATGTATTACTGATATACACAACACAAATAGATTTCAAAAGCATTATGCTAGCAGAAAGAAGTCAAACACAAAAAGCATGTTGTGTGATTTGATTTACATTAGAAAGGTAAATTTATGTTTATGGAAAGCAGTTTGGGCCAGGTGTGGTGGTTCATGCCTGTAATCCCAGCACTTTGGGAGGCCAAGGACAGCAGATCACTTGAGGTCAGGAGTTCAAGATCAGCCTGGCCACCATGGTGAAATCTTGTCTCTACTAAAAATACAAAAATTAGCTGGGCATGGTGGTGCACACCTGTTAATTCCAGCTATTCAGGAGTCTGAGGCACAAGAATCACTTGAACCCGGGAGGTGGAGGTTGCAGTGAGCCAAGATTGCATCACTGCACTCCAGCCTGGGAGACAGAGCGAGGCTGTCTCCAAAAAAAAAAAAGCAAGCAGTTCTATCAGGAGGCCATTAGGTTAAGCTGGTTCTGTTAGAGTAGGTAGTCAGGCAGACATGAGCAGGGCAGGAGAGGGCCCCCAGCTCAGGAATGTCAGGCGACCATCAGGTGATGATCAGGCGGTTGTTACACTGTTTCTCTAAAATAATAATAATGGGTTGCAGCCAGTACCAGGGAAAGACAGTCTCCCAAAAGACAGGAAACACCGGAAGCTGGTGATCAGCAACTTCCTGATAAGATCTCCGAAGCTGGGCAAGTGGGCTCAAGCATGCGCACTAAGAAGCAAAATGACAGTTTAACCAGTATGTGACCTTCCTCTAGGAACACCTGACTGATAAGGGAAAAATGTCTCAAGAAAGCATGCGCACAACTTCAGTAAACAAATGCACATGTGGCTCCTCCCAAGTGCTGACAGGCCACTGCACAGCAGACAGCCCACCCCAAGGAAAAAAATCCAAGGAGGAGAAATGGAAACCCCGGAACCATGCCGATGTATAAAACCCCAAGTCAAGGGCTGAACAGGGCACTTGGATCTCTCAAATGGTGCAGTGACTCGGATACCTTCCCTAGTGGTAAGACACCTCTACGCCTTGCCTTCTTCGGCTGGAGGCGTTCAACCCTCGTACGTGGTTTCGTTCTCCTCTTTCACTCTCCTGCTTACTAACCTACCCCTGGAACGATTCCTCTCAACCACAGTGGCTCTGCTCCCCCTGGCTGCTCTCTCTGCTCACCCCGAAGGATGGCTTGCAGGGGTGGGAAGGACCTTGGAGTCTGCACTAAGTAGACCTGAGACACTAATGGCCCCCCCAGACAGGAGGCTGATGAGAGCGGTAGGGCTAAAACCTACAACCATGTAGTATCTGGGGTTTCCTCTGCTTTTTCAACTAAAATCAGCTCTTTCCCAAAAACCCACCACCACCTATTTTCCTTTCTCTGTATGTATTCCAAAATGACCTCGCACACCCATTGGACCAACTGCCTTGGGGGTAAGTCTGTCTTTTCTCTGTTCTTACTTTGCATGCCCTGCAACTTTCTTCTCTGCCTTAAACACACATTCCCTATTTGTTATTCATGCACCCGCAGCTCTTGCTGTGTTAGCCTGGCAACCAAGAGATGGACTCCCTTACGGATGTCCCTTGATATTTATACTTGTTACCCTACCAGCTCGGATGACCTCCAACCCTTTCCCTGTCTGTTGGCTCACTGCCGGGATAGACACTAATCAGAACCTTAGCTCTGTCAGCTCCTTATGACTTACCATATGCTTTTCATCCCTGTTATGCTCCAGGGCCATGTTTCTCCCTGGCTTTTGAATGGTTTGCTTGCTTGCATAGGACCTCACTCTGTAGCCCTTAAGGACCCCACCCACTCGCTTTTTTTCTGAGTTAGCACCCCTTTGTGGGGAAGGAAAATTCTCTGCCGTTTGCAGGGTCTTATCCCAAACACCAAGTCCTCCAGAGGTTCCTCCTTTATATCAAGAGGGCAAATAAACGTTGCCCTCTCAAATCCAAGGGCTGCTGTTTCTGCAAACATATGAAGGCTTTCCATGAGTATTCCTCTTGCTTCCTCCCGCTTTCTCCTGTAGCAGAGGGATTGTTCTACCTCGTTAAGCATTTGTTCTGCATGTTACCCTGGGAGGATGAAGAATCCCAAATACAAATTTTCCTCCATTCCTCTAATCACCTCCAGGCCCTTCTCAATATGTATCAGGACCTTCAAAGTTATATTTGAAGGGAGAGAAGTCCAGCCCCCTTGCAGCAATTGGCAGAAAAACAGGCTTCTCGTCTTCTTAAAGAACATGGGAAATGAGAATCTGAGAAGAGATAATCATTCTGTTGCTAGAATGCTCTGAACAAGGGTCACTATAAGGTCATGGAGACAAGGATATAGGACAGCCCAAGGAGGCAGATGCAAGAGACCAAAGTACCCATAGAACAGAGATGAAGACTAGTTCCAGGCTACAAACACAAAACAGATTACCACTGCAACACAGATGAAGGCTGGTCCAGAAATGGGATGGGATCAGGGTAGGGGTACCCAGTAAACACTGGGTTCATTCCAGAACCCCTTGGATGAGTGGGAGGGCACCCTGTTCACTGTAGTCTGCCATAGGCACAGGATTAAGAGAACAAGGGGAGATGCCCTCTTCTCGCCTCTGTTCTTTCTTTACAAACGGGTAATTGTGCCTCAATAAAACAAGATGGGACCAAGGTTAGGGGTACCTGGTAAGCACTGGTTCATTCTGGAACCCCTAGAATGAATGGGGGACACTGCCATACGCAAAGGAAAAATGGATGAATGGGGTAATGCCCTACCCACTCTGGTCTGCTGTAAGTTCAGGAAAAAGACAGTAGGGAAATTGGAGGGGTTGCCTTCTTTTTCTCTTCTCTCCTCTGTTCTCTCTGTGGACAGGTAATCAAGTCTCTGTACCACAGGACACACTACTAGGATACATCCTCAAGAACTGGGAAAAGTTTGACTCCCAAACCCTAAAAAGGAAAAGGCTAATATTTTTCTGTAATACAGCCTGGGTTGAATAAAAGCTCTAGGACCAGGAATCTTGGCCAGAAAATAGAAGCACAAATTTAAATATGATCCATCAACTAGATTTGTTTTGCTACCACCAGGGAAAATGGACAGAAATCCCCTATGTGCTGGCCTTCATGGCCCTAAGAAACAACCCTGACCTTTGTTGGGCTTGTAAAACAGATCCATGGCCATAGTCATGCAGCCCCTTCCCATTGGTTCAGAAGGCCCCTCATCAGGTTTACCCAGAGCTCAAGCCCCATTGCCCCTTCTACCCAATTATATCGAAGTCTCCCAGAAGCCTTCTCCTCCCTACCCAGGGCCATCCTCTGGACACCACCTCCTTAAGTTATGCCCCATTCAGGAGGTTTAGTGGTCCCAGTGGACCCACTGGAGTCCAGACTCCATTCACTGTGCAAGACCTGAGCCAAATTAAAATGGAACTAGGGAAGTTTATGGAGGACCCTGACAAATATATCAAAGTGTTTTATAAACTGGGCTTAACATCTGAACTCACCAGGAGGGACCTCTCAGTCATACTAGGGCAAACTCTGCCTAAGGGAGAATGTGACTCCATTATGGTGGCGGTCCAACAATTTGCAAACACAATGCACATGCCTGACACTGGTGGCTACCCTGTGGGGGCCACCATAGTTCCCCAGGTCAACCCCAATTGGGATTACAATATCCAGGGGAGTACATGAGCAAGGACCCACATGTTCCTCTATCTGATAGAAGGAATGAAAGCTAGCAGAGCAAAGCCTGTGAACTGTAATAAATTGGGCTTGACAGATCAAGGGCCTTATGAAAACCTCACCATTTTCTTAGACAGGCTAGAAGAGGCCCTAGTGAAACACACTAACCTAGACCCAGACCCACTAGAAGGACAACTGTTCATAAAGGATCATTTCCCTAACTCAAACAACACCAGATATTAGGAGGAAACACCAGAAACTAGCACTGGATCCCAGTACCCCTATGCCTGACATCTGCAAAGTAGGTTCCTTGGTCTTTTACAACCAAAACCAGGAGGAGTAGGAAAGGGCTCAAGAAAAGGAGAGGCAAAAGGAAAAGCAACAGCTCCAACTACTGACTGCCCTGCAAACCTGCCAGCCACCTCTGGCAGGCCCCAGGGAGATCCCTTTGCCCAAATGCTACTTCTGTGGGGAGCCAGGCCACACAAGAAGGCAGTGCCCAAACTGATGGGGACACCCACCCCCAGCTCTCCATGCTCCAATTGCCACAATCTTGGCCACTGGGAAACAGGACTACCCTGAAAGCTGAAAGGCCCTCAGGACATCCCAACTGGATGACCTTCAGCTCCTTGAGCTGAAGGGGGCCCTACGCTCCACTTGGCTCCTGGATTAAATAACACTATTGAAGGGACAGAGCCAAGGGCTGCCTTGGATGTGCCCAGTAGGACTGTAAGTTTTCTTTTGGACATGAGGGCTGCCTGCTCAATGCTTACCTCTTTTCCCAGGCAATTATCCTCCTGGGAGGATATGAAGTGCCCGTAACCTGGAGGTTTACTCCTCCTCTGTGCTGTCTCTGGGGGAAAACCGTCTTTTCTCATTCATTTTTAGTGATGCCAGAATACCCTACATACCTTTTGGGTAGAGATATTTTGCTCAGACTAGGGGCTCAGTTAACCTTTCCTCCAGGGCCAACACCCCCTTTTTCAAATGCAATCTTATGCCTCAAGGAAACCATACACAAGGATGAACTGTTCACAGACCTTCCCATTTATCCAGAGGTCTGGGCCTCAGGAATAACAGGAAAGGCCATAATGGCAATGCCTATAGTAATTCAGCCCAAGAATCCTTCTAGCTATCCTTGTAGAAGGCAGTTTCCTCTTCAGCTGGAGGCCAAAGAGGGATTTCAGCTTCTGACTGAAAAATTTCAAAAACATGGATTATTAATACCCTATAACACCCCATCTTACCTGTTAAAAAGAGCAATGAAAAATACAGGCTAGTCCAGGACCTGAGAATCATAAATGAGGCAGTAGTCCCAATACACCCAATGATCCCCAACTCATATGTAATTCTTCCCCAACCTCCAGATGCTCAGTGGTTTCCAGTCTTAGACCTTAAAGACTCTTTCTTTTGTATCTCCCCCTCGACCCATCCTCCCAATTTCTATTTGCATTTGAGTGGGAGAATGAAAAGGAAGGAGTCAACAGCTCACCTGCACAGTGCTTCAACAGGGTTTCAGAGACAGTCCCCATTGGTCTGGGCAAGCCCTGGCTAGAGATTTGCAGGACCTAAGTCTTGAGAGGAGAGAGTGTCTCCTACAATACATGGATGACCTGTTAATCTGCTCCCCAACAAGAGAACTGGGAATCCAACATCTAGTCCAAACACCAAACTTCCTTGCAGACAGAGAATACAACGTGTCTGAAAACAGACTCCTAAAGTACCAAGTCTTGTTGTTAGAAAACCCATAGGTAACAGTTGAGCAGTGTTCCACCCTTAACTCAGTTTCCTTACTGCCACTACCAGGAGACCATAACACCACATTTGTGTTGTGAGATACTTAACCAAATTTATGCCAGCCAGGAAGATTTAAAAGATCAGCTCCTAGATAATCCACATGACATACGGTTTTCAGGTGGGAATAGCTTTGTCAGGGATAGAGCTAGATATGCAGAGTATGGTACAATGTCCCTTCAACAAATTACAGAGGTTAAAGCTCTGTCCCCGGGGACCTCTGTGCAATTAGCCAAACTCACTGTGCTGACGAAAGCCCTAAACTAGGGGAAAGAAAAGGAGTATATACAAATTCCAAATACACGTTTCTGGTTCTTCACACTCACACAGCTATCTGGAAGGAGAGGGTGTACCTAACAGCTCCAGATACTCAAATTAAATATGGGCCTCAAATCTTAGAGCTATTAGAAGCTGTTCATTTGCCCCAGGAGGTGACAATAGTGCACAGTAAAGGACACCAAAGGGGCTCTAATGAAACTGCATAGGGAAATAGGTTAGCTAACTAAACAGCTAAAGAGACAGGCATCTCAAAAGATACCTTCATGGGGGCCTTGCTCATCTCTCTCCCCAGTGAACTGCTCTCTCTCCAATACATTAAGGAAGAAACAGATTGGGCCACCCAACATGGGTATTGAAAAGAAACCAATGGATGATATAGGTTGGGAGAACTTCTCCGTCTACCTAAAGCCTACCAATGGAAACCATCAAGAGTTTACAGGACTCCCGCCACTTTAGAAGAGACAGTCTAAGGCAAATTTGTAAACCAGTGTTCAGTGGGGGAGGGACTAAATAAAACTATTCAACAGGTTTGTCAAGCCTGCACTTTGTGCACTATAAATAATCCCCAGACGGGGAAGCCCTCTCCATCAGTAAGTCCAATCCAAAGGAGAGGTACATACCCTGCGGAGGACTGGCAGATGGACTTCACTCAGCTCCCTGCATACCACAGGTTTAAGTACCTCGTGGTCTGTGTAGACACCTTCACAGGATGGGTAGAAGCCTGCCTCACAAGGACTGAAAAGGCACAGGAGGTAGCTAAATTCCTCCTAAAGGAACTCATTCCTCAGTTCAGCCAACCCAGGTCATTGCAGAATGACAATGGTCCATCCTTCATTTCCCAATTAACTCAACAGGTTAGTAGTGCCCTGGACATAAAGCTTCACTCTGCCAGGAGACTGTAATCTTCAGGAAAAGTGGAAATAACCAAACCCTCAAACACATCCCCAACAAACTCTGCCAGGAAACAGCACAGCCATGGGTGTACCTCTTAGCTTTAGCCCTCCTTCTGATTTGCTGCCCCTAAGGCTCCCTTGCAATTAAGCCCCTTCAAGGCTTTATATGGTAGGCCATTCCTATATTCTGTCATTACTAGATGAAGAAACTGCTAAAATCACCCACTATGTTTCTTCTTTAGCAGGCTTCTAACAGGCTCTCTGGGAATATGGTTTACAAACAAACCTGAAATCTGAAGGGGAAAAATCCCCACCTCTATACCCCATAGGCTCACAACTTCTCATTAACGCCTGGAAGGATGGAACCCCAAATTCCCAACAAACTCCTATTTGAAAGGGCCCCTTCACCATTCTATTATCTACCCCTACAGCCATTACAGTACTGGAGACTGCCAGCTAGATCCATCACACCCAAGTGAAGCTGTGGAAAAGCCCTTAAACTCCAGAGCCAGAACCAGCAACCTCAGCTCCGGAATACACTTGCAAGGCACTGGAAGATCTAAAATTCCTCTTTAAACAAAAAGATAAGTAATGCCCCACCAACATCCTTTCACCTCAAAGTAAGGTGATCCCAATACTAGAAATTTTACTGGCAATTGCTCTGATTGTTATCACTATTTTAACCCTAACTTGTACACCACCAGGAGTTCCATTGGCAGCTCGTTTTGTGACCAGTTTCTCTTAGGTCACCATGGGCCTGCTCCTGCTGGTTCTCATTCTCACGCCTTCACTAGCAGCCTACCGCCATCCTGATTTCCCGTTATTGGAAAAAGCTCAGCAACTGCTCCAAAGTACAGGATCCCCTTACTCCACCAATTGCTGGTTATGTACTAGCTCTTCCACTGAAACACCAGGGACAGCTTATCCAGCCTCGCCCAGAGAATGGACAAGCATAGAGGCGGAATTACATATTTCCTATCGATGGGACCCTAATCTGAAAGGACTGATGAGGCCTGCAAATAGTCTTCTTTCAACAGTAAAGCAAGATTTCCCTGATATCCGCCAGAAACCTCCCATTTTCGGACCCATCTTTACTAATATCAACCTAATGGGAATAGCCCCTATTTGTGTTATGGCCAAAAGGAAAAATGGAACAAATGTAGGCACTCTTCCAAGTACAGTCTGTAATGTTACTTTCACTGTAGATTCTAACCAACAGACTTACCAAACATACACCCACAACCAATTCCGCCATCAACCAAGATTCCCCAAACCTCCAAATATTACTTTTCCTCAGGGAACTTTGCTAGATAAATCCAGCCGGTTTTGCCAGGGACGCCCAAGCTCATGCAGTACTCGAAACTTCTGGTTCCGGCCTGCTGATTATAACCAATGTCTGCAAATTTCCAACCTCAGCTCTACAGCGGAATGGGTTCTATTGGACCAAACTCGAAATTCTCTTTTTTGGGAAAATAAAACCAAGGGAGCTAACCAGAGCCAAACACCCTGCGTCCAAGTCTTAGCAGGCATGACTATAGCCACCAGCTACCTGGGCATATCAGCAGTCTCAGAATTTTTTGGAACCTCCCTCACCCCCTTATTTCATTTCCATATCTCTACATGCCTTAAAACTCAAGGAGCCTTTTATATTTGTGGCCAGTCGATTCACCAATGCCTCCCCAGTAACTGGACTGGAACTTGTACCATAGGCTATGTAACCCCAGACATCTTCATAGCCCCTGGCAATCTCTCTCTTCCAATACCAATCTATGGGAATTCCCCGTTGCCCAGGGTGAGGAGGGCAATCCATTTCATTCCCCTTCTCGCGGGACTCGGCATTCTAGCTGGTACGGGAACCGGAATTGCTGGAATCACAAAAGCTTCCCTCACCTATAGCCAGCTCTCAAAGGAAATAGCCAACAACATTGACACCATGGCTAAAGCCTTAACGACCATGCAAGAACAAATCGACTCTTTAGCAGCCGTAGTCCTTCAAAATCGTCGAGGACTAGACATGTTAACGGCAGCACAGGGAGGAATTTGTTTGGCCTTAGATGAAAAATGTTGCTTTTGGGTAAATCAATCAGGAAAAGTACAAGACAACATCAGACAACTCCTAAATCAAGCCTCCAGTTTACGGGAACGAGCCACTCAGGGTTGGTTAAATTGGGAAGGAACTTGGAAATGGTTCTCTTGGGTTCTTCCCCTTACAGGCCCACTTGTTAGTCTCCTACTTTTGCTCCTTTTTGGTCCATGTCTCCTAAATCTAATAACCCAATTTGTCTCCTCTCGCCTTCAGGCCATAAAGCTCCAGACGAATCTCAGTGCAGGACGCCATCCTCGCAATATTCAAGAGTCACCCTTCTAAGGAGGACCCCTAGACTGCTCGCTAGTGGAACACGACAGAGGCGAAATCCTGCCCCGTCTCCCGTGGACCTGGCTGGATATGGTTTTTGCCAATCCACAGAGCCATCCTGCCCTGACAGCTAGCAAGAGGCCAAGACCCACAGAACAACCACTACAGCCCCTCTGTCAGCAGGAAGCAGTTAAAGAAGACTGACCTTCGTCCATTTTCCCAGATAATTGGGTCTTGGACTCTTGAGGGGGGGAAATGTTGGAGCAGGTAGCTAGTCAGACATGAGCAGGGCAGGGGAGGGCCCCCTCACCAGGAATGTCAGGCAACCATCAGGTGATGGTGAGGCAGTTGTTAAGCTGTGTCTCTAACATAATAATGAGTGGCAGCTGGCGCCAGGGAACGATGGCCTCCCAATAGATAGGAAACACCTGAAGCTGGTGATCAGCCACTTCCTGATAAGATCTCAGGAGTTGGGTGCGCAGGCTCAAGCATGCACCCTAAGAGGCAAAATAGTGGCATTTAACTCATATATGACCTTCCTTTAGGAAGGCTTGACTGGTAAGGGAAAAACTCCTCCAGTGAACACGTGCACAACTTCAGTAAAAACACTGCACATGCGTCCCCTCCCAAGTGCTGGCAGGCCACTGTGCATGCAGACAGCCCGCCCCAAAGAAAAATCAGAGGAGGAGAAATGGAAACCCCGGAACAATGCCAATGTATAAAACCCCAAGTCAAGGGCCTACCAAGGCAATTGGATCTCTCAAGTCACCCGCTTGGCTCTCTTCAAGTGCACTTTGCTTCCTTTTGTTCTTGCTCTAAAACTTTTACTCCTGCTATAAAACTTGCCTTGGACTATCATGCTACCTTACGCCTCCCCGGCCAAATTCCCTCCTCTCCTCCGGGGGGCAAGGATGGAGTCTGCTGCAGACCCATTGGATTTGCTGCTGGTAACAGTTCCACCATTTAGGTTCCAGCACCAAGCAAACTAACACCCGACTCAGTGTAAACAGCCAAACAAGCTTAACCAATTAGAAACCACCATCTAACCTCTAACTAGGTCCTTTCAACTTTAACCAAGTATTTTCTTTGTCTTGCTTCTGTGGGAACCTTATAAAATTTTCCCCCTTGTACCTCTGTAGTAGAGACCCAGTTGCTTGCAGTTTGGCCCTGCCTGTTCATGAATCACCCTTGCTCAAATAAACTCTCTAAAATGCTAATGTGCCTAAGTTGATTTCTTAACACATCTTTGCAGATTGTAGGAAAACCAATGAACTAGACAACCTACAAAATTTGTTCACACTTTTCTGTAATCAACACATTTTACCTCAATCTACTATCTTTGAAAGGTGTACATTATCCTAAATAAAACTGTATTAATCTAAGGATAGTTTAAATTTCTAAAACCAAATTTAATCTTTAAAAATTGATTTTTCAAAAGTCAATTAATTCATATATATCCACCTGTACTGAAGCCATCCTCACAGGGTTAATGAGAATTCTGGACAGAAACATAATTATAATTAAGCATTAATCAAGCTGCATTTTGACCCATTTTCTTGTAACCAAAAGTCACAATACACTAGATACTGTCCATTTACATCTCCATGGTTCCTAAAAATAAGATTTTTGAGTTAGAATTATAAGGCTTTTAAGAATTGCTAAAGATGAGGCCAGGCGTGGTGGCTCACACCTGTAATCCCAGCACTTTGGGAGGCTGAGGTGGGCGGATCACCAGATCAGGAGTTCAAGACCAGCCTGGCCAACATAGTGAAACCCTGTCTCTACTAAAAATACAAAAAATTAGCAGGGTGTGGTGGCGCATGCCTGTAATACAGCTACTTGGGTGGCTGAGGCAGGAGAATCACTTGAACCCAGGAGGGGGAAGTTGCAGTGAGCGGCAATTGTGCCACTCCACTCCAGTCTGGGCGACAGATGAGACTCTGTCTCAAAAAAAAAAAAAAAAGAATTGCTTAAGATGTTTTTCAGGTTCTGGAATTACAGTAAAACAGCTGTCACCAGTATAAGACCAGTTTAAAGACACCCTACAGAGGAATCAAATCAGCATGAGAATAGTGTCTTCATCTCCCTGTTCCATGGTTTCACCCCTGCACTCTTTGACCAATCAATCGGCCCACTCCAAAACCCTTAAACCCTAGCCCCAAACCCCTCCAAGATGGATTTGGTGTTTCCTTCCATCTCCTCCTTCGGAAGCCCTACCATAGAACCTCTTCACTGCAACCTGGTATTGCGAGAAACAGCTCTATTACAGTTATAGTACCTCAATGTAAGATAAATAAGCAGAAACAAAGTCGAACCTCAGTATTCCTGAATTATTTGTGAATTTATCTACTTGCTGAAATAAGAGAGGTTGACTGCATTCCTCAAGCCACACAGCTAGCAAGCGGCAACGCTAGCTGTGTGACTTGATCACACAGTCACAGATCAGCCCAGGTCCAACGCTAAACATAGAACAACCAAGTTCTGAAATTAAAAACTGGACAGCTAAAATTAAAAACTCAATTTAAGAGACAGAAGATAAAGCCCCAAACATCCTCCAGAAGAAAGGGGGAGGAGGGAATTAGGAGATAAAAAGATAAAATTAAAGAATCAACCCAAAAGGTCCAGCATACAACTACCAGAAGTTTCAGAGAGAACAGAAAAAAAAAAAAAAAAGAAAATGGAGAGGAGGAAATTGATCACAAATCTAGTAGAAAATTTCTCCACAAATGAGGAAAAAATCTGAACTGAAGGGACCTAGAAAAATGAAAGAGACACACACAAAGGTACATCATTATGACATTTCAGTATACAATGACAAAAAGGCTATCCAAAAAGCATCTTGAAAGAGAAACCAAGTCATGTATAATGACAAGGAAACAGAAGGCAATAAATTTTTCAATACCAGACCTAGAAGCAAGAAATCAATGGGGTAACCATTTTTAAATTTTGGGTGAAAATCTATAACCCCAAAATCTATTCAAATTATCAATCAAGTATAAAGGTAAAATATAAATAAATAGAGACATTTTCAGGTATGCATTAGCTCAAAAAAAAATTTTTCATGCATTCTTTCCTAGAAAGCTACTAGAAAATGTGCTCCAACAAAAAAAGAATGGAAACTGAAAAAGATAATGACATGAGATCCAGAAAACAGGGTACAGAAGAGGATAATAGAGAAAGTACAACTTTCTGCAGAATGACAGCTGTTGAGAAAGAAGGAAGGTTCTGGATCTGGGTGGGGGAAGGAGGGGAAAAGCAATCCATTTGAACACGTGGGAAATACCACTGATGAGTGTAAGAGATTGTGGAACATCTGGTAGGGGGCACATAACAATGTACCAAAGTAGGCCAGGCACCGTGGCTCATGCCTATAATCCCAGTACTTTGGGAGGCCGAGGCAGGTGGATCACGAGGTCAGCAGATCGAGACCATCCTGGCTAACACGGTGAAACCTCATCTCCACTAAAAGTACAAAAAATTAGCTGGGCATGGTGGCAGGCACCTGTAGTCCCAGCTACTCGGGAGGCTGAGGCAGGAGAATCGCTTGAATCCAGGAGGTGGAGGCTGCAGTGAGCCGAGATCACGCCACTGGACTCCAGCCTGGGCAACAGAGTGAGACTCCCTCTCAAAAAAAACAAAAACAAAAACAAAAACAAAAAAACAATGTACCAAAGTAATACTAGGTAAGCTAAAAAGGCAATTATGTATTAACTTCAAAAAATTGAAGAACCATGTAAAAATGAAAGTGTGGTCATATTACACTATTTAACCAGCAGAGAATAATGTTTACAGAGTCAAAATATAAATCCACACTATTAAGTCAGCTAAATGTATTATCAATGGCAAGCAGAGAAAGAAATGGATGGAGCATCTACCACGGTTAATAATGTCTAAAAATATATAGTGGCTATTTAGGTCTGTAAAGCTTATGATGCTTCTCTACCTCTACCCTCACCACTAGGAGAACTGGAGTAACAGAATTGAAATAAACTCTTATCTGTTGTATTGAGATCTCCATTGGGCATATCAGGTGTTTCATTTGTAGGAGCTTGGGTATTCTGCAGCATTCATCTATTCATTTGTTGAACAAATGTTTATTGAGTGTCTACTATGTGCCAGACACTTCTGTAGGTGTCAGGGATATAGTAGTGAAGAAAACAAAATGCCTGCCCTCATTGGGCCTTACCCTCTAGTGTGGGAGACAGATGATGGACAAGTAAAACATGTAGTATGGGCCAGGCACGGTGGGTCACACCTGTAATCCCAGCACTTTGGGAGGCTGAGGCGGGTGGATCACGAGGTCAGGAGATTGAGACCATCCTGGCCAACATGGTGAAACCCCATCGCTACTAAAAATACAAAAACCAGCCGGGTGTGGTGGCGGGCGCCTATAATCTCAGCTACTCGGGAGGCTGAAGCAGAAGAATCCCTTGAACCCAGGAGGTGGAGGTTGCAGTGAGCCGAGATCGCGCCAATGTACTCCAGCCTGGCGACAGAGCTAGACTCCGTCTCAAAAAAAAAAAGTCTGATGCATTGAGCCTGGGTCTCAGGAGAGACATAAGAGTTAGAGAAACAAATTTTTGAGTCATTAGCTAGAGCAGACATTTAAATCTCTAGGACTGGATAGGAGACCTTGGGGAGTAAAAGAAAAGGGAAATGTATTTGCAGTATATTATAGAAACATAATAGAAAAAAATAGAATCTTCTCATACAGTAAGGGCAAGTAGGCAAGTACTAGTCCATAAACATTTTATTTCAGAGATCGATGATAAGTAAATAGATGTATTAATGGACTAACACATGTAATCTGTACACTTATGAACATATTAGGAATAATCTATTTTCTATTGTAGGTTGTGGTCAAAAAAAGAAAATTCTAGGGAATGAGAAGAAGCTAAGAAAAAATAATAGCCACTGTGGTAGGAAGAACATCATGGAAATACAGTATATAAAAGCCAAAGAAATGTTGAATGGACCCGGCATGGTGGCTCATGCCTGTAGTCCCAGCACCCTGGGAGCCCGGGGCAAGTGGATCACCTGAGGTCAGGAGTTCAAGACAAGCCTGGCCAACATGGTGAAACCCCGTCACTACTAAAAATACAAAAAATTAGCTGGGCATGGTGGCTGACACCTGTAATCTCAGCTACTCAGGAGGCTGAGGCAGGAGAATCACTTAGACCCAGGAGTAGAAGTTGCAGTGAACCAAGATTGCACCACTGTACTCCAGCCTGGGCAACAAGAGCAAAACTCCATCTCAAAAAAAGTAAATAAAAGAAACGTTAAATGTTTCTAGCAGACATCACTTAACTGTAAGGAATGAATATGACAATTTAAGCTCAGTTAGGACTAAGAAGCGACCACCACAGGCTGGGTAATATGGAGGCCATCTGTTACTGACTTTGACAACAGCAGCATCACTGAATAGTGGGGGTAGAAAACACCTTGGAATGAATGAGAGGTGAGAAAGCAGAGACAACCAATGTAGACAGAAGGGAAACCTGCCTAGGAATCTGAACTTTGGACATCAGAATTCACTAGGTGAAGGAGTCTGTCAGAGCTCTAGAGAAAACTACATAAATTCCTAGGGACAGGAACTGTGTTCCCAGTTCCTGGTAGACACTCAATATTCAGTTTGTTGAACTGAATGAAATAAGAAAACAGGAGACCCAGCCCAAAGAGCAGAGCCTCTTGATCTGAACTCCATGTTTGTATTCAAGGAAGAGGAGTCCATGAAATCTCAGAAATTGGGTGGGGGGGCGGCGAGCAGGGAGCAGATAAGTTATGTGGGTGAATTTTTCTTTTTTAAAAAAAAAGAAAGGTTCACAGCATTTACCAGACTCTCAAAAGGGCTTGTGACCGCTAGAAGGGTAAAAACAACTGTTTTATGGGCATACAGCTACTCCCTAGCTTTCAGCCAGTGCTAAAGACATGGTGCTTGTTATAGAGTGAATCGTGTGCCATCCAAATTCATATGTTGAAATCCTAACCCCCAGTGTGACTGTACGGTATTTGGAGATAAGGTTTTTTTTTTTTTTTTGAAACGGAGTTTCACTCTTGTCACCCAGGCTGGAGTGCTATGGTGCAATGTCGGCTCACTGCAACCTCCACCTACTGGGTTCAAGCAGTTCTCCTGCCTCAACCTCCTGAGCAGCTGGGATTACAAGCATGTGCCATCATGCCCGGCAAATTTTTGGTATTCTTTTTTTTTTTTTAGCACAGACGGGGATTCGCCATGTTGGCCAGGCTGGTCTCGAACTCCTGATCTCAGGTGATCTGCCTGCCTCTGCCTTCCAAAGGGCTGGGATTACAGGCATGGGCCGCCATGCCCGGCCTGCAGATAAAGATTTTTAAAGAGGTAATTAAGGTTAAATAAAGTCATAGGGTGAGGAGCCATAATCCAGCGACTGATGTCCTTATAAAGAGATTAGAACACACAAAGGAGAGACTATGTGAAGACATAAGGAGAAGACCACCATCTACAAGCCAAGGAGAGAAGCCTCAGGAGAAAATCAACCCTGCTGATCTCTGACTTTTAGCTTCCAGAGCTGTAAAAAAATAAATGCGTTTGGCTGGGCATGGGTGGCTCATGCCTGTAATCCCAGCACTTTGGGAGGTCGAGGTGGGCAGATCACCTGAGGTCGGGAGCTCGAGATCAGCCTGACCAACATGGAGAAACCGCATCTCTACTAAAAATACAAAATTAGCCAGGCACTGGGGACGGGCACTGTGGCTCACGCCTGTAATCCCAGCACTTTGGGAAGCCGAGGCGGGTGGATCACCTGAGGTTGGGAGTTCGAGACCAACCTGGCCAACATGGAGAAACCCCATCTCTATTAAAAACAGAAAATCAGCTAGGCGCATGCCTGTGATCCCAGCTACTCAGGAGGCTGAGGCAGAAGAATTGCTTGAACCCGGGTGGCAGAGGTTGCGGTGAGCCGAGATCACGCCATTGCACTCCAGCCTGGGCAACGAGAGTGAAACTCCAACTCAAAAAAAGAAAAAAGAAAAAAAAAAGCAAAACAAAGAAAAGAAATGAGTTGTTTAAGCCACCCACCAGTCTCTGGTATTTTGTCATGGCAGCCCTGGCAAACTAATATCGCACTCCAATTTCTCTCTTAAGTCTGGTCTGATCCTTGCCTCCTCTCCCCAAGTTCCCGCCCCATCCTAGTCAAAAGATGAGGCTACTCCATCATCAGTTCTCCCAACAACAACAAAAAAAGTATTGATCACTTCATCATAGAGCTTTTAGTTCTTGACTATTCCAAAAACTAAGGTGTCCTAGCACAGGGCTCTCCAGCCCTAGCACACAGATCCCTCCTCCCTGCAGGAGGCAAGTATTACCATCTGAGCTCCGCCTCCTGTCTGATCAGCGACATACCAGATTCTCATAGGAGCACAAACCCTATTGTGAAATGCACATAGGAGGGATCTAGGTTGCTCGCTCCTTATGAGAATCTAACTAATGCCTGATGATCTGAGCTGGAATAATTTTATCCCAAAACCATCCCTGCTCCGTCTGTGGAAAAATTGTTCTCCACAAAACAAGTCCCTGGTACCAAAAAGGTTGGGGACTGCTGTCCTAGCACACCTCATCTCTCTTATTCCTTAATGTTTCTGAAACTAAAAGCACTTTTAGAAAAATGTGTATAATTAAACCATCAAACAGCTGTTTAGAGATGAGAGAGCAATTTGGATTTCTGAAGCCATAAAGGTAAATTTGGCAAATATCCTAGTGAAGGTATGGTAGGGTCTACGTGTCACATTCATTCCCATGTCCAGGTAGCTCGCATTTTCAAACTAGAAAGGGTAATAAATGCTTTCCCTCCTTCCCCACATCCAAACATATCACAAGGATTTTGTTTTCCTTACTTCAAGAACCTTAAACATCTACAATTAGTTCAATATTCTAATATTCTTCTGCTTGTTGATATCACAAGCAGAAAATTGAGAAAGGTTATTCAATTGCTTTATCTCATCAGAAAAGAAAGGCTGTAAATTAGAAGCTTTAACCTGGTGTTACAGAAAAGCACAACAAATTTTAAACATACATACAAGGCCGGATGCAGTGACTCATGCCTGTAATCCCAGCACTTTGGGAGGCCAAGGCGGGTAGATCACATGAGGTCAGGAGTTCAAGACCAGCCTGACCAACACGGTTAAACCCCATCTCTACTAAAAATACAAAAATTAGCTGGGCATGGTGGCGGGCACCTGTAATCCCGGCTACAGCTACTCGAGAGTCTGAGGCAGGAGAATCACTTAAACCCAGGAGGCAGAGGTTGCAGTGGGCCAAGATCAGGCCACTGCATTGCACTCCTGCCTGGGCAACAAGAGCGAGACTCCATCTCAAAAAATAAAATAAACATATAAGTTTATAAATACATACACATGCATATGCACAAGTGCACACATATATTCCACAGCGTCACTAAGTATTAATTTGTACATTTATCGTGTAATGAACAAGCCCTATAGTATCTGTATGAATTCTGACCCATTATTACATCAACCTGAACCCATACTTCAGTCTTATAAATATGTGTAAACTCACTGACACGTGTTCTACGTACTTTTTAGATTTTCACAATTGCTTAGCCACTTTGCTAAGAGACCTGTGGTTATCAGCTACTATACATGTACAAAGAAATCAAAAAGATCTAAAATTGGGCTACCATTATTTGAAGAAAAAAGTTGAACGTCCTCTCATTCCAAGAAGGAAAATACGCACAGCATTCGAAATAGCACCATTATTATAGAACTGAGAGTTAGGTTACCCGACCCTGCAAGTTTAATATAGCCGGTGTTTCTAAGCTCTGCCTGGTCTCCACATCTCTGCTTGGAATTGAGTTTAAGGCTGAACTCTAAGTAAACAATTTCACGCGTGCTGAAAACCCAACTCTACCCCACTCGCTGATGAAACGAAGGTGACACCTCTCATTATTAAGGTCAGAATCTGTGCAAATGAAAAAGGACCAATCAATCACTTCACCTTCGAATGCAGGCCAAGGTTACAATCTGGGCAGCCTGTGGTGAGAATGAAAGAGCAGACGCTGCCGGTGAAGCAAGGCTGAGTTTCACTCAGAGGCAGGAAGCCCTGGAGCCTGTCCTTTCCCTCCCCAGGATGCCCGAGGGCCGGCCATGAGTAAAGGGCCCACCTCTGCGCTCAGCCCTAGAGGCTAAGGGACAACAGTTGATTTTAAGACAATTGTCCGTCCACGCCCTTTTGTTTTTTTCAAAAAAACAAACAACAAAAAAAACCCCAGCAGATCAGCGACCCGGCGTGTGGAACTGCCTCGCGGCTACCGCCCCCACTCACCGCACACCATCAGCAGCAGGACGATCAGCAGCGTGGCCACGAACACAAGCAGAGTCAGCCCGACGCTGTGCCACATCTTGGGGGCAGAAGGGCAGTCGGCTCGGGGCGGCTGGCGCGGACGGCGGTGAGCGCGGGCGGCGGCGCGTCCTGCGCTTCAGCGGCGGGCGCCAGGCGCGGCTGGGCGCCGGGGCGGCATGGGCGGCTGGCGCCCCCTCGGCAGCGCCCCCAGGGGGTGGGGCGGCGCAAAGGCGGGCACTGTGGGACCGCCCGCCCGCCCGATCCTTTTCCCGCCGGGGTGGCCAGAGCGCGGGAGGCAGGCGGGCCTCAGGGCGCCTCTAGTCCCTCATCGCCCCGGAGAGCCGAGGCCGCGGCACCCAGAGACCCCAGCGGTCGGATGCGCTTCCATGGCGGACGCCGCGCGCCTGTAGGGAGGACAGAGGGTAAGCACGGGTACACACGGCGGCCACAAGGCCCTCGTCGCTGTCCACCCGTGTCTCTGAGACCCCAGGGATGCCAGATGTCAGCGTCGCCCGGCCGCGGCTGTAGCGGCTTCTCCGCCCCAGGCCCCCTACCGCTGGGGCAGCTCATCACCAAGCTCGCCTCCTCCGCGGCGCGGGGTCGGCTGGGAGATGGAGTGCAGAGCCTGGTGGAGTCGGGACGGCGTTGTCTCGCAGGGACTACAACTCCCAGAATGCACCGCCACTCGGGCTTCGCTGCTTTCATTCTCGGGCGGCTCTGCCTTTGGTCTTGCTCAAGTCGCCTCAGTCGGACGACCGTGGGCTGGCCTTCTCCAAAGCCGCGGATCTGGCTGCCCGTCCTGCTGAGGCGCCAGTGAGATTTCAACCATTACTCCGTATACAAAGTCGTTTTGTTTCTAGCCGTAATCGATGAAGTACGGCGAGAGAGGAAAGAGGAGGCGGCTGCCTGAAAAACTGGTTGCTCGTGCACCTAGCCCTGTTGCCGGGGGCGAAGGTTGGCTATTTGGGACTTGGAGGAAGAACTCAGGTCCCTGCCGCAGACGCGGGTCAGGACACGAAATCTCATTTTCCCCCTGCAACAGATGTTATGTTCTATCTTTTCGTAAGTAAAGCATTTCAGAAATGGCCCGCGGGTGACTTAAGGACAGCTGCACTGCCCTCAAATCACCTGCCTGAGTTGTAAGTTAGACCCAGCTGCCTCCTTGAGACCAAGCTTGGAGATTTTGCCGCACTGGCTTACACCTCTACGAAACAAGACACTGTAGTAATCTCAACTACTGTATCTCCACCCAAAATTGAAACTCCCCACTTCCGCCAGATTACATTCATTTGTTAAAGAGGTGCCCCCAGAAGAATAGAGGGTAAATGTGTCCCTCTTTTAGAAGGAATCAGAGCCTTCGAGTTTTCCTGTGATTCTTTTGCTCCCTGAGATACCTTTTTACTCTTCTAAAAATTACAGTTTCCTGTCTTCTGTCTCCAAAAACAAACACAAAAGTTCTAAGCAGCAATCCCTTGATTTAATAAATGTATCCTGCCATACCCAGCTGCCCTACTATGTGAACTGTATTCCCTAAGAAGCAACATTAGGAACAAATACCATGTATAAAAATACATTAAAGGATAATTACTTGCTTTGCAACAGATTTAATATAGATTCCTGTGAAGAGAATGAACCCAGTGCAATTAAGATATATTTACAAAAAATCAGTGTGTGCTTTTTTCATGGGTGGTTCAATTATGTTGCATAATTAAAACACATTTTATTAAAAGCCAGTTGAAAATACGCGTCAGGGCTAGGCGAGGTGGCTCACGCCTGTAATCCCAGCACTTTGGGAGGCTAAGGCGAGCAGATCACCTGAAGTCAGGAGTTCGAGACCAGCCTGGCCAACATGGTGAAACCCTGTCTCTACTAAAAATACAAAAATTAGCCGGGGGTAGTGGTGGGCGCCTGTAATTCCAGCTACTCAGGAGGCTGAGGCAGGAGAATCGCTTGAACCCAGGAGGCCAAGGTTGCAGTGTGCCGAGATCACACCACTGCACTCCAGCTTGGGCAACAGAGAGACTCTTATCAAAAAAAAAAAAAAAAAGAAAAGAAAAGAAAACAGCCATCGGAAGAACTAAAATAATTTATTTTAAAGGACCTTTTTCTCTTTGATTCACATATATTGGAATACCTATAGGGGCCAGGCACTGTTCTAAGTGCTGGGGATACAGCAGTGAATAAGACAAAGTGCCTTTACTCAAGATGCTTATATGACAGTTGGAAAAAAACAGACAATAAGCATAAATAGAGAAATCTCAGGAACTGCTATTAATAGCAAGACAGTGTGATAAATGTAGGTGTGTTATTTTAGCTTGTTGGGGGATCAGGGAAGGTCTTCCTGAGGAAGTAACATTTAATCTGAGTCCTGAATGACAACAAGGATTCATGGAAAGACCTAGAGAAGAACATACCAGGTAAAGGGAACAGCTAGTGCAAAACCCACAAGAAGGAAATAAACCTGGCCATTGCTCTAAGCCTTTTCAATGTTTCTCAACTCTGGATGCACATTTCAAATCACGTAGGGAGATTTATAAATTACGAATGGCTAGACCTCATCCCCATACCAAATGAACAGAATCTCTGGGAGTAGGGCCTAAGCATGGTTGTTTTTTATTTTTGTTTTTGAGACAGTCTCATCCTGTCTGCCACAGCTGGCCGGATGCAGTGGCTCACACCTGTAATCCCAGCACTTTCGGGGCTGAGGTGGACAGATCACCTGAGGTCAGGAGTTCAAGACCAGCCTGGCCAACATGGTGAAACCTCGTCTCTACTAAAAGTACAAAAATTAGCTGGGCGTGCTGGCAGATGCCTGTAATCCCAGCTACTCAGGAGGCTGGAGAATCGCTTAAGCCCAGGAGGCAGAGGTTGCAGTGAGCCAAGATCACACCACTGCACTCCAGCCTGGGTGATAGAGTGAGACTCCATTTTAATAAAAATAAAAAAATAAGCCACAGCTATTTCCAGAGTCCTTTTACTATTCTCTTCCCTATATAAAATGTTCTGCTTCCTCCTTTCTGATAGCCTCACTCCTACTTCTGCAATGTCTGTCCACATTCCTCCTCAATAAGACCTCCCTGACTCCTGTTCACTCGTCTGTCTAGCTCCTCTAAGCCAATGGCTTACTGCAGCCTCGACCTCCCGGACTCAAGTGATCCTCCCACCTCAGCCTCCTGAGTAGCTGGGACCACAGGCGTGCATCACCATGCCCTGCTAATTTTATTTTTTGTAGAGATAGGTTTTCGTCATATTACCTAGGCTGGTCTCGAACTCCTGCGCTCAAGTAATCTGCCTGCGTTGGCCTCCCAAAGTGATGGAATTACAGGCGTGAGCCACTACACCTAGTTATCAGTCTTGTTTATACATTGGAATTATCCAGGGAGCTTTAAAAACATTCCTAGATTTTGGGCCGGGCGCAGTGGCTCATGCCTGTAATCCCAGCACTTTGGGAGGCCGAGGCAGGAGGATCACTTGAGGTCAGGAGTTCAAGACCAGCCTGGACCACAAGGTGAAACCTCATCTCTACTAAAAATGCAAAAAAATTTAGCCAGGCATGGTGGCACGTGCCTGTAATCCCAGCTACTTGGGAAGCTGAGGAGGGAGAATTTGTGGAACCCGGGAGATGGAGGTCGCAGTGAGCCAAGATCACACCACTGCACTCCAGCCTGGGAGACAAAGCAAGACTCTGTTTAAAAAAAAAAAAAAAATTTCGTAACTTTCATATCAGGAATACTGAAGGCAGGGAAGGAGGTATAGAGGACCTGTAATTTTTTTAATGTTCTCCATGTTTTGATGAACAGACTTGAGAAATGCTAGTGTAAATTACATTTAGCAATTGTGTGCCCACCTTGTGATAGCCCTTGGATTGTTTTATATTTAGCACTTCATATATATATATATATATATATATATGTTCATATATGTCTTACTTCAGGCTGCTGTAACAAAATACCTTAGATTGGGTAGTTTGTAAACAACAGAAATTTATTGCATACAGTTTTGGAGGCTAAGAAGTCCAAGATCAAAGTGCCAGCAGATTCAATGTCTGGTGAGGGCTCGCTGCTTCATAGATGGCACCTCTTGCTGTGTCCTTACAAGGTGGAAGAGGCAAGGCAGTTCGCTCAAGCTTTTCGAGTTCTTTTGTTTTTGTTTTTGTTTTTTTCTGAGACAAGTTATCACTCTCCGCCCAGGCTAGAGTGCAGTGGCACGATCATGGCTCACTGCAGCCTCGACATACCTGGGCTCAGCTGATCTTTCCACCTCAGCCTTTAGAGTAGCTGGGTCTATAGGCATGCACCACCACTCCTGGCTAATTTTTTGTATTTTTTGTAGAGATGGGGTTCCACCATGTTGCCCAGGCTGGTCTCAAACTCCCAGACTCAAGTGATCCGCTGGCCTCAGCCTCCCAAAGTGTTAGGATTATAGGCATGAGCCACCACACCCAGCCCTTGAGCTTCTTTTACAAGGGTACTAATCTCATTCAAGAGGGTGGAGTCCTCATGACCTAATCATTTCCCACAAGCCCCACTTCTTAATAGTGTCACATTGGGCATTGGGTTCCAACATAAGAATTTTGGGGGGACACCAACATTCAAACCACAGCAGTATAAATACACACATGTAAATACAAATATGTACATATGTCTTCTTTCCCATATCTGATTCTTAGTGGGGGAACACTTACCTTTCCTCCTCTGCTATTTCCTTCCATGAGGGAGGCAGCTCAGGTGGTGTAATAATACTATGTCTGGGGCCGGGCATAGTGGCTTACGTCTGTAATCCCAGCACTTTGGGAGGCCAAGGCAGGCGGATCATGAGGTCAGGAGATCGAGACCATCCTGGCTAACACAGTGAAACCCCATCTCTACTAAAAATACAAAAAATTAGCCGGGCGTCGTGGCGGGTGCCTGTAGTCCCAGCTACTCGGGAGGCTGAGGCAGGAGAATGGCGTGAACCCGGGAGGCGGAGCTTGCAGTGAGCCGAGATCGCGCCACTGCACTCCAGCCTGGGTGACAGAGCCAGACTCTGTCTCAAAAAAAAAAAAAAAAAAAAAAAAAAAAAAAAAAAAAAAACTACGTCTGGTCTCTCTATGCTCTTTTATCCCCTCTGTCCCTGGTCAGGGGAGGAGTGATTTACTTAATTGGTGCCTTTAGGAAAAACTGGTTTTGCAGAGCTCCACTTTTCCCACATTCCTCTTAAATCTGAGCTGTTTATGCCTTATATCCACACAGGCCAGCAGCAAAGGGAGGTCCACCCTAGGTGCTTCCACTTAGGTCCAATCAACAGGCCTGACTGGCTCATACACTATTTTTGTTCTCTGATGTAGCCTTATTACTAAAGGTAATATTTTCGCCTCCAAATGTCTTCTTGTTTTCGCAGTTGAGCAGTGTTTTCTCTCAGCAATCCCATACTTCTTTTACGATAATTAAGAGGAGTCACGTCTCATTAGATTGGTATTAAAAGAGAGAAGCTATGGTTTTACCATTTATGTATCACATAGTAGGTGCTCGTCAGATTTCGATCCAAATGTTTTATCTCTAAAGCCTCACAAATTTTAGCCATTCGATCATTAAATATCGTGGGAAGAATATGCTAAATGTAGGGTGGATACAAGGTAAGACAGATTCCTGCCCTTGTGGATAAATCCAGTCCTACACCAATTATCTACCAAACACCTACACCTACTTCATGCCATGCACTGCTTGCCACTAGCAGTACAAAAATAAATATGCTCCCTGTTGTAAAATAGCCCAGCCTAGCTCAGTGTTTTTCAATGTTGACCCATCTGAGTGTGTCCGTAATTGGTAGGTTCTTGGTCTACACTGACTTCAAGAATGAAGCCACCAACTCTCACAGTTGAGTGTTATAGCTCTTAAGGTGGCGTGTCTGGAGTTTATTCCTGCTGGTGTTTGGATGTGTTCAGACTTTCTTCCTTTTGGTGGGTCCACAGTATCCCTAGCTCAGGAATAAAGCTGCAGACCTTCCCAGTGAGTGTTACAACTCTTAGGACAGTGTGTCTGGAGTTGTTTGTTTCTCCCGGTGGGCTACGTGGTCTCACTGACTTCAGAAGCAAAGCTGCAGACCTTCACAGTGAGTATTACAGCTCATAAAAAGCAGTGTTGACCCAAAAAGTAAGTAGTAGCATAATTTATTGCAAATAGCAAAAGAGCAAAGCTTCCCAAGGGCAGAAGGAGACGGGAGCAGGTTGCTACTACTGGCTCGGGCAGCCTGCTTTTATTCTCTTATCTGGCCCCACCCACATCCTGCTGATTGGTAGAGCCGAGTGGTCTGTTTTGACAGGGCACTGATTGGTGCATTTACAATCCCTGAGCTAGACACAAAGGTTCTCCATGTCCCCACTAGGTTAGCTAGATAGAGTGTGGACACAAAGGTTCTCCAAAGCCCCACCGGAGTAGCTAGATACAGAGTGTTGATTGGTACATTCATAAACCCTGAGCTAGACACAGGGTGCTGATTGGTGTGTTTGCAAACCTTGAGCTAGATACAGAGTGCCGATTGGTGCATTTACAATCCCTGAGCTAGACATAAAGGTTCTCCAAGGCCCCACCAGAGTAGCTAGATACAGTGTCGATTGGTGCATTCACAAACCCTGAGCTAGACACAGGGTGCTGATTGGTGTATTTACAATCCCTGAGCTAGGCATAAATGTTCTCCACGTCCCCACCCGACTCAGGAGCCCAGCTGGCTTCACCTAGTGGATCCCGCACAGCGCTGCAGGTGGAGCTGCCTGCTAGTCCCGCCTTGCGCCCGCACTTCTCAGCCCTTGGGTGGTCGATGGGACTGGGCGCTGTGGAGCAGTGGGTGGCGCTCACTGGGGAGGCTTGGGCCGCACAGGAGCCCACGGAGGGGGTGGGAGGCTCAGGCATGGCGGGCTGCGGGTTCCGAGCCCCGCTCCGCGGGAAGGCAGCTAAGGCCCGCCGAGATATCGAGCGCAGCGCTGGTGGGCTGGCACTGCTGGAGGACCCAGTACACTCTCCGCAGCTGCTGGCCCGGGTGCTAAGTCCTTCATTGCCCGGGGCCGGCAGGGACGGCCGGCTGCTCCGAGTGCGGGGCCCGCCAAGCCCACGCCCACCCGGAGCTCCAGCTGGCCCGCAAGCGCCGCGCGCACCCCCGGTTCCGGCGCGCGCCTCTTCCTCCACACCTCCCTGCAAGCTGAGGGAGCCGGCTCTGGCCTTGGCCCGCCCAGAAAGGGGCTCCCACAGTGCAGTGGTGGGCTGAAGGGCTCCTCAAGTGCAGCCAAAGTGGGAGCCCAGGCAGAGGAGGTGCCGAGAGCGAGCGAGGGCCGTGAGGACTGCCAGCACGCTGTCACCTCTCATGTGCATCCTGAAATTAATTCAGTGAGAGTCATGACTGGTACTTTAACGACTAGAATAGAATCTATAAATGTATATCACAAGTAGTAAGGGCAAATACTACTTATGGAAGTTTTATTTCAGTTATTTATGTATGTGGGTGTATGTATTAGTGGAGTGTGTGTGTGAACTGAGTTGCAATGCAAAATACATTCTTACTATGGGTTATAGTTTATAAAAAGACGAAAAATCCAGTCTAGCAAGAGGGAACCAGACGTGTATATATGTGACTTACTTATTTATTTTTCTTTTTTGAGACAGAGTCTCACTCTTGTCATCCAGGTTGGAGTGCAGTGGCGTGATCTCGGCTCACTGCAACCTCTGCCTCCAAGGTTCAAGTGATTCTCCTGCCTCAGCCTCCCAAGTAGCTGGGACTATAGGCACGTGCCACCATGCGCAGCTAATTTTTGTATTTTTAGTAGAGACGGGGTTTCGCCACGTTGGCCAGGCTGGTCTCGAACTCCTGACCTCAGGTGGTCCACGTGCCTCGCCCTCCCAAAGAGCTAGGATTACAGGTGTGAGCCACCACGCCTGGCGGACTATTTTAAATATTACTTTACATGTATAACATAGGATTTTTCAGATGTGATTGAGGCTTAGTGACTCTAAAAAAATTTGTAGTGGGTAATGAGTTGAACTGACATCCAAACACAGGTCAGTATAACTTAAAATTTCGTTTCCATTGTACCACAGACAGGAAAAGATCTGGAGAAAGGAAAGATTGAGAGAAAAACCATGAGCAAATTCTTGAGGTCATGAGTACGTTTGTGAGAGTGATGGTTAGGATGCCTAAGATTCCATGGAAAAGATAACAGTTCCTTTCAGTTCTGAAAAATTTGGAGTTGAGGGAGACTATGGTGGTTAAGTTCCTGCTCTGCAATTCAGCTCTGGGTTTGAATTCTAACTAACTTGGTTGAATGACTTCATCTTCCTAAGCCTCTTACTAATGTTTAATACTAATAATAATACAATTGACCCTCAAACAACATAGGTTTGAACTGCACAGTTTCACTTATATAAGGGTTTTCTTCCACCCCTACCATTGCTGAGACAGCAAAACCAACCCCTGCTTTTCCTCCTCCTGAGCCTATTCAATGTATAGACTGCAAGGATGAAGACCTTTATGATGATCCACTTCCACTTAATGAATAGTAAATATATTTTCTAGTCCTTCTGATTTTCTTTTCTTTTTTTTATTCATTTATTATTTTTTTGAGACAGACCCTTACTCTGTCGCCCAGGCTGGAGTGCAGTGGTGCGATCTTGGCTCACTGCAACCTCTGACTCCTGGGTTCAAGTGATTCTCCTGCCTCAGCCTCCCAAGTAGCCGGGATTACAGGCACGCGCCACCACGCTCAGCTAATTTTTTTATTTTTAGTAGAGACGGGGTTTCACCGTGTTGGCCAGGATGGTCTCGATCTCCTGACCTCGTGGTCTATCTGCCTCAGCCTCCTAAAGTGCTGGGATTACAGGCGTGAGCCACCACGCCCAGCATGATTTTCTTAATAACATTTTCTTTTCTCTAGCTTACTTTTTTGTATAAATAACATAATAGCATATAATACAAATAACATACAAAATACATGTTAATTGACTGTTTATGTTATTTGTAAGGCTTCTAGTCATTCGTAGACAATATTAGTAGTTAAGTTTTTGGGAAGTCAAAAGTTATATACACGTTTTTGACTGCGTGGGGGGTTTAGCATCCCTACCCCCACCCTGTGTTGTTCAAGGGGCAACTGTAGTACCCTCTCCACGGAATCATTTTGACAATGTAATGAGATGCTACATAGAAAGAGCTTACCTGGCACAGTGTCACCTGCACTTAGGATGTCTTCAATAAATGCATGCATCTTAATAACCTAATTTATATATATTTTTTATTTTTTTGAGACAGTCTCACTCTGTCATCCAGGCTGGAGTGCAGTGGTGCGATCTTGGCTCACTGCAACCTCTGCCTCCCAGGTTCAAGATTCTCCTGCCTCAGACTCCCAAGTAACCGGGACTACAGGTGCACGCCACCACACCCAGCTAATTTTTGTATGTTTTCGTAGAGATATGGTTTCACCATGTTAGTTAGGCTGGTCTCGAACTTCTGACCTCAAGTGACCCACCCGCCTCAGCTTCCCAAAGTGCTGGGATTACAGGTGTGAGTCACCACACCTGGCCCTAATGGAACTAGGTAGCAGGATTGCTTGCATTCAATTCATTTTTACTTGATTTGGAAAAGAGCCTGTCAGAATTTGATCAGAAAGCCAGAACCACCACAGGGGCATGGAATACAGGATTTATTGTAGGAGTTAAGTCTCAGGCAATTGTGGGAGCTGACAGGGCAGCCCAAGCAGGCTGTTGTTTCCATGCCTAGTGTTGAGCCTACAGTTGCTAAAACAGCAGTTGGGAAGGAAAGTTGGATGTGGACAAGGGTAAGGGCGACTGGAAACTGCAGGGGCAAACTAGGACCAACAAAGAGAACTAGACCCTGCAAAGACTAACTGGAACCAACATCCTCCTCTCCCCACTTCCAACCTTGATGCCATAGATAATGTGTAGAAGAAGCTTGTGCCCTTCACTATGGAACTGAGCATGCACTCAGTCCAGGAGTTGAAGAAACTGATGGGGGAGATCTGGCAGGAGCTGGAGTGTGTTCGTTTCCTAGGGCTGCCATAAGAAAGTACCACAGAAACTGGGTGGCTTCGACCACAGAAAGTTAGTCTTTCACAGTTCAGAAAGCCAGGACTCCAAAAGCAAGGTATTGGCTGGGCCATGCTCCCTCTGAGGGCTCTAAGGGAGAGTCTTTTCCGCTTCTGGTGGCTGTGGCAATCCTTGGCCTTCCTTGGCCAAGCTGCATCACTCCAATCTCTGCCTCCACCATCACACAGCATTCTTCCCTGCATGTCTGTGTAGCCGTGTCTTCACATGGCCTTCTTATAAGGACACTAGTCATGGGATTTAGGGCCTACCGTAATCCATTAGGACCTAATCTTAATATAACTAATTACAGTTGCAAAGACCCTATTACCAAATAAGTTCACATTCTGATGTTACTGGTGAATGTGAATTTTGACAGGACAACACTGCTCAATACAGTACATGGGGGAACTGTGTTTTGGGGTGTTTTCCCATACCTACGAGGTGAGCTAGCTGCAGAGCAGTGACAATATGCCTGCCCTTCACCAGTCACTAAAGCATAAAAAAAATGGCAGCTGCTTCATTTCAACCTCTCAAATATCATCCAACGTGTCTTTATTGGCCAACGCTGATCCAGAAACATAAAGGAAAGGAAATACTGGGAAATTCCAGTTTCACCAAATTGTTATAGTACAGGGCCACTATACAGTGAGTCACTGATGACTCTCAAGTCAAAACGACTTGATGGGAACATTGTTTTAAAAATATTGATCTGGCAGTAAAGTGGAGGAGAGATCAGGGGTAAGAAAAGATTGCAGATTCATTAAGAGATTGCTGGCATAGTCTAAGACAGTAGTCTCTAAATGTTTTTGATTATGCCTTTGGTAATCGTAGACTAAATAAATTGGACAAATTCTCTAGCTGAATCCAACTAAAAAGTCAGAATTAAAACAAAAATCTTTTTACAAACATCGGCTGGGTGCGGTAGCTCACTCCTGTAATCCCAGCACTTTGGGCGGCAGAGGCAGGTGGATCACCTGAGGCCAGGAGTTTGAGACCAGCCTAGCCAACATGGAGAAACCCCGTCTCTACTGAAAATACAAAAAATTAGCCAGGCATGGTGGCAGGTGCTTGTAATCCCAGCTACTCAAGAGGCTGAGGCAGAATTGCTGGAACCCAGGAGGCGGAGGTCGCAGTGAGCCGAGATTGGGCCATTGCACTACAGCCTGGGCAACAAGAGTGAAACTCCATCTCAAAAAAAAAAAAAGTTAAAGAGCTAATGAGACAATGAGAAATAAGTGGGCCAAGATTGGGGAGAAGATAGAAATAGAAAAATCTAAAACAAGAACCAGGTGTTTGGAGGCTCTTTTACCCAGGGAGGGCATTCAGAGATCCTAAGATGAGGCTGAGCAGTGCTTTCCACAACTCTGGGTGACAAGGGCAAAGCTGGAGTTGTGGGACTGGGGTTCTGGAGAATCCCAGGCACAGAGGGCTCAGACCCCGAAGGGCCTCACCACAGGAATAAAGGGGCGGCTGAAAATACACCTGAAGCCTGGTTGGCTTTGACTGATCGGGCTGACCCAGAAAAGTTCAATTTCTGAAATTGGATTAGGGGAATCCTGGATTAGTGTAGCCTTAAGGCCTGGCAGAAACAAAGAAATAAGCTCATCGTCCTAGGCTTCAAATGATTTCTACAAACACCTTTTCAAACACAATTTCCAGCACATACTCAAGTATTTTTTTATTGTATGCCATTCTTAAGTTACAACAAAAAAATTTTGAGCACACACCTTTAATACATATTTGTTTACAAATTATCACACTTGTTACTTTATATCATGGAATGTACAGAAAAAGAAATGCTAGAGGATGAGATGAAGATAAATAAAATATTTAAGTTTTTTAAATTTTATTTTTGTATTGCAAGAAGTAGTTTTATTTGAGTTAAAATTATTTACAAAAGCCCAGAGACATACTTCATGAAACTCATACAAACTGTTTTTTCCGGCGGTTAGCTTTGGCTCCAGAGATCACAGCTGTGAAATACTGTGTAAAATAAAAGTAGGACTGGATTCAGAAAAGTACTCTACTTTTCTAATTTCCAATGGGTAGTATTTTTAGAAATATTTACAATGGAAAAAAAAGGTTACTTTAAAACTTTAGTTAATTTGCAAGTCACCTCAAGAACCTTAAAAGGTAGAATTCTCTGAATGTTAAAAACACACAAATGTGCTACATTTGGTGAAGGTGATATCTCCCCCACCTAAAACTTTATTTTTAACAGTAGAGAAAATTTTTAATATCACTGTGTTAGTTTGCTAGAACCACGAAGTACAAAGAACCACAAACTGAGTAGCTTAAAACAACAGGAGTTTATTCTGTCACTGTTGTGGGGGCTAGAAGTCCAAAATCAAGCTGCTAGGAGGGCCATGGACCCTCCGAAGGTTCTAGGAAAGGATTCTTCCTTGCCTCTACCAGCGTTGGATAGCCCCAGGTGTTCCCTGGCTAGTGGCAACATAAATGTACTCTTGGACTCCTCCTTACCTGGTCCTCTCCTCTATGTGTATCTGCCCTCTCCTCTTGTTATAGGGACACCAGTCATATAAGGGCCTACCGGCTGGGCACAGTAGCTCACGCCTGTAATCCCAGCACTTTGGGAGGCTGAGGCAGATGGATCACCTGAGGTCAGGAGTTCAAGACCAGCCTGGCCAATGGGTGAAACCCCCATCTCTACTAAAAATACAAAAATTAGCCGGGTGTGGTGGTGGCTGCTTGTAATTCCAGCTACTTGGGAGGCTGAGGCAGGAGAATCGCTTGAACCGGGGAGGCAGAGGGTGCAGTGAGCGGAGATCACGCCACTGCACTCCACCCTGGGAAACAGGAGCGGAATTCTGTCTCAAAAAAAAAAAAAAAAAAAAAAAAAACCTTATGACCTCATCTTAATTTAACTAATTATATCTGCAATGACCCTATTTCCAAATAGGAACTGAGGATAAGGATTTCAACTAAACTTTCTGTGAGACATAATTCAATCCATAACAATCACCAAATACTCTTCATTACTTCAAAAAATCTTTTGAAAATGATTAATACTTTGAGGTTTAGCAGTTCAATGACCTATATTCACTTTATCTTAATACTTAATTTTAATATTTGTCATAATTTTAAAAAATATCTACGACATATAAGAAATATATATTTGGTCTCTGTCTCCAGTTCTTGACACAGAGCTCCTAAAACTCTTGTAGTTTCCTGAGCAATAGGAGTACTAAGAGCACCTTTTATTCTAATATTTGGTCCTCAACTCTGTGATATGGTTTGGGTCTGTGTCCCCACCCAAATCTCATGGCGAATTGTAATCCTTAGTGTTGGGGGCGGGGCCTGGTGGGAGGTGACTGGACCATGGGGGCAGATTTCTCACGAATGGTTTAGCACCATCCTCTTAGTACTGTTCTCACAATAATAAGTCCTCTCAAGATCTGGTTGTTTAAAAGTGTGTGGCGTCTCCCCTCTGTCTTGCTCCTGCTCCGGGCATGTGAGATGCCTCACTACCCCTTTGTCTTCCCTCATAATTGGAAGCTTCCTGAGGCCTCCCCAGGAGCAGAAGCCCCTATGCTTCCTGACAGCCTGCAGAACTGTGAGCCAACGAAACCTCCTTTCTTTATAAATTACCCAGTCTCAGGTATTTCTTTATAGCAATGTGAGAATGGACTAATACACTCTGGTTCCTGAGACAGAGGTCCCAAATCCTTTGAAAATTCTTGGGATGTCCAAAAGACGACGGGAATGTCTTTTGTTCTAGCCAGGCAACTGGCTGAATGAAGCTCCTGAATGGAGCTGGTCACCAGAAAGACCAAGCCATGATTAGAAGCTTGGAATTTTCAGCTCCACCCCACATCCTCTGGGGAAGAGAGAGGGACTAGTGACTGAGTTAATAATCAGTCATGCTTCCATGATGAAGCCTCCACTAAATCACTAAACTACCAGATTCAGAAAGCTTCTGGGTTGGTGAGTACAACCATGTGCTGGGAGGTTGGCGCATATCAACTCCATGGGGACAGAAGCTCCTGTGCCTGGGACCTCGCTCTATGTACCTCTTCATCTGGCTGTTCATTTGTATCTTCTATCATATTCTCTATAATAAACCAGTCAATGAAGGTAAAATGTTTCCCTGAGTTCTGTGAGCTGTTCTAACAACTTACGGAGCATGAGGAGAGGATGGTGGAGAGCCCTGATGTACAGATTTATAGCTGATTGTTCAGACATACAGGAGGCCCAGATCTGGCACTGGAATCTGAAGTGGGGACAGTCTTGTGGAATGGACCCATAACCCGTGGGGGCTGCACTAACTCTGGATAGTTAGTGTCAGAAATGAATTGCAGGGCTGGGTGCAGTGGCTCACGCCTGTACTTTAGGAGGCCAAGGCAGGAGGTCAGGAGTTCAAGACCATCCTGGCCAACATGGCAAAACCCCGTCTCTACTAAAACACTAAAATTAGCTGGGCATGGTGGTGGGCACCTGTAATCCCATCTACTCGGGAGGCTGAGGCAGGGGAATCATTTGAACCCAAGAGGCAGAGTTTGCAGTGAACTGAGATCGTGCCACTGCACTCCAGCCTGGGCCACAGATTGAGACTCCATCTCAAAAAAAAAAAAAAAAGGAAATGAATTGTAGGACACTCAGTTTGTGTATAGAGGGTTGGAGAATTGGGTCTTGTGGACACACACTCCCACATTTGGTGTCAGCAGTATGGTGAGAAATCATTTTTCTTTAATACCTCAAAAAGATGAAGAATTCCAAATGAAAGCAGTGCCCCTCTGACTGACTTTTGTCTTTTTCTTTTCTTTTTTTAGACAGGGTCTCGCTCTGTTGCCCAGGCTGGAGTGCAGTGGTGTGATCACGCCTCACCATGGCCCCAAACTCGTGGGCTCAGGCGATCCTCCCACCTCAACCTCCCAAGTAGCCAGGACTACAGGCTAATTTTTTTAAGTTTTAATTTTTGTGGAGGCAGAGGCTCACTATGTTATCCAGGCTTCTGACTGACTTTTGAATTGTGACACACATTTTTTTCAATCTCATCCACTTACTGTACAAAGATTTTTCTTGAAATTCGGCTAGCAAATTTCCATCTTTACTGTTACTTAGTTGTTCTTGAACACTAAATGGAATATGTTACATTTTTATTGTTTTTATAAATAAGTTAGAAATCCACAGAAACTCTGCTTAGCAAATTTTTATTTTTTATTTTTATTGTTCACATCAGGCAGGTAATGTGCCAATGACAAGGCTCAAGGGAGGCACATCTCACATGTGGACGCGAAAACTCAATCATCAAGCTTATGAACCACAAAAGGATCTAGAAAAGTTTTAAACATATGACACAATTCTGTGTCCATGCTTGTGTGCAAATAGGTCACACTGTTGTATAACTTTTTGACTTAAAATCATCTAACAGTGGAAATGCTTTCCAACATTCTTTTTCAAAACACTCTCTCAACTTCATGAACATAATGAAGAGAACAACATACACTGGGGCCTATTTGAGGGTGGAGGGTGGGAGGAGAGAGAGGAGGAGAAAAAGCAACTATTGGGTACTAGGCTTAGTACCTGGGTGAGGAAATTATCTGTACAACAAACCCCTGTGACATGAGTTTACCTATATAACAAACCTGCATATGTACCCCCAAACCTAAAACAAAAGTTAAAAAACAAAACAAAAAACCAAAATCCAAAATACTCTCTCCATAGGGTGCAATATTTCTAAAGCAACTATTTTCTCATTTGTTGTTATGACATTCTTTTTATCTTGAGGAAACATATGAAATGAGGTTATTTTTCCAAAAACATCTGTTACATGGTATGCTATAGAGACTCACTCTATCTTTTTGTCGCAGAAAGCGTCAGTGTCTTAGTTTAGTTCCAGCAGCTTTAACAAAATGCTATCGACTGGGTAGCTTATAATTAACAGAAATTGATTTCTCAGAGTTCTGGAGGCTGGGAAATTCAAGATCAAGTTGCCAGAAGAGTGGGTGTCTGGTGGTAAGCGCCCACTTCCTAGTTCATAGATGGCACCTTCTCACTATGTCCTCACATGGTGGAAGGGCAAGGCAGCTCTCTGGACACTAATCCCATTGATGAGGGTTACACCCTCATGACCTATAGTCCCTCCCCCAAAGGCCCCACTTCCTAATGCCATCACATTGGGAATTAAGTTTCAACATATGAATTTTGGAGAACACTGACATTTAGAACGTAGTTGTCAGCCAATTCTGTATCCTCATCTTCTGGGATGAACGCTGTGATCCATCACCCAGTGCATTCCCCCTGTGATGTTGGTCTTGTCGCTCCAGGTGTAGGGAGTGCTGGCGGGCATTTTAGGGACTGTCTTGGCCACACCCCTTCCTGGGGTGGACATCCAGTGACTATCCCATGCAGGAATATAAAGAACTGGCCATCTCAGACCAACTCAGGACAACTCTGAAGGGCCATTCTAGCTCCAGAGCTCCTGTGGGTTCAGCCAAGAGTCCTGGCCTGAAATGCATCTCGACTTCTGTCTCTCTGTTCGATTTCTTCTTCCCCCTTCCTTCTATGGGTGTTGAAACCAAGGATGAGCCCTAATAATCATCCTGCAGAATGTGTCTCAGAATTTTCTTCCCAGGAATCTAACTTAGGACACTTTCATCTAAAAGAAATAAAAAATATGTGTAACTTATCTTTAAATACTTTGCCAAGAAAAAAGCCGGAAAACTCCTGGTGGTAAGAAACGGTTTGCCTGGCCATTTTAGTGATGGCCTGTTATTTTAAAATCTTGCTTTTACAAAATTAGGCCCATTGAAAACAACTCATAGCAAGGAAACAGCAAAACAGAGTGACACACTGACAGTGGAATTCCTACCATGCCCTCAGGATACTTCCTATTATTCTATTTGACATGTGAACATGGAACATAAGAGACAAATTGAGGACCCAGTGTCTATCTTTATAGCAAATATTAAGAAAGCTTAATTTCTTACCTTTTAACATAAATACATATACTTTCTCATATTTTCTTTCTATGTCCTCAATGTACAGCATTATATTGCAAAGTCTACTCATCTAGGCAAAAAGCCACAAGAAATGAATGTAAGGAAGGCAGATGGGCACAACCCAGTGGGGCCAGGACTTATGAGCTGTCTGTGCTGCTGAGGACATGGGAAGAGCCAACGATAACTTCTAGATTGCTAGCTCGAGTGACTGAATGAAAGTCAGTGCCCTAAAATCTTTGACTTGGGGAGAGGAGCAAGGTGGCATTTGCCAGGCCGGATTTGGAGTGTGATGGTGGAACATCTGGATACAGGAGTTCAGTGGGAAGGTTCCAGTGTATGTATGCATGAGGGGCAATCAGGAGAGCTGCCAGGACTCAAGTGGCCATCTGCAAGTTAAAGCAAGGAAGTGATGAGAGTATAAAGAGAGAAGATGATAAGCCCAAAGTAATATTTTTAACAGATGAGGCCTAGCAGTAGTATTGAGGATATGCTGGAAAGGCCTCAGGCCTCAAGGCAGCCTATAGGAGGCTGTAGAGATGCAAATGTGGGCTAATGAAGTCCTGGGCAAGGGCACAGGGAGGGTGGAAGGGTGGGAAGGAGAGGATGTGTTTGGGCAAGCTTTACGACTAACAGGAGTAGGGAGCCAGGGAGAGGAGGGAGTTCATGTTTTCCTTTTAGACCTTATTTGGAAAAATACCTTTATCTTAAATACTCTGTGCCTTCCTCCCATTCTGACGTTATGAAAATCCACATACATATGAAGCATTTATGGTTCAAGTTTTAGAAGTGGTTAAGCTGCAGTTAGGCACTGAACACACACCAGTTTCCTATGGCAATTTAGACGACTAACTATAGTAATAGATTTTTACCTACACAGACAGCAATGACATGTCATAAGCAAGAAGGCAAGTATGACTGATTCTCACCTCCTTCTGTGGTGTAATCATTCCTATGACAGGTAGAATATTTGGTTCTAGGCCATGTTTATAAAAGTTTATATTGTAGCTGTTTAGGTTCACTTGTTAGTTTTTTGGGGGGAAAGTTAACCAATTTAGAACTTTGAAAGGGTATCTATACTATTATTTTCACAATTTAATAGGTAGAACATTTGAAAAAATGGATACCGTATTTCCTTCCTTTAGCAGCGGAATCTAACTTTTTCTAAACTTCTATAAGCACTTTCCACTGACCTCCCCCCACCCCAAAAATGAGTAACAACAAGAAAGTAAGGCCACCATGCAAAAAAATACAAAATTTCTCAAACATGTCATATTTCTTTGGTGTTACACAGAATGGAGCCTGCATCCTTCCATTTAAACAACAAAAGCCCTGATTGTTACATTCCTACAGAAATGTGACATTTTACTGGATCTTCATTTTCCAGTACAAAATGTAAATTTCTGGTAGAATGTTTTTTCCCTCAGTATAGTTTTAGAATGTTAATCAGTTGGATAACTAAGTTATTGCAGGCCTGCTTGAATCAGGACTGAGGGGAAATTGCATTTTGGATTAACAAAAACACCTTTATTGGACTTAATATTTATTGTAGCTCAATATCAAGACACTGGTTTAGAAGTACTTATTAACATAACACTACTCTTCTACTTTGTCATGAAATTGGAGTTAGGCTCAAACTTTACATTGTAATTTAAGTCCAGCTAACAGTAGCTAATAACATTCCTGTTGTACTTGTCTACGATGTTAACTCATTCAATCTTCACCTCAATTCTGTTAGGTAGGAACTACAGGCTGACCATTCCTAATTCAAAATTCCAAAAGTTTTGAGCACTGATATAACACCACAAGCAGAAAATTTCACACTTGACCTTGTGTACACAAACTTTGTTTAATGTACGAAATTATTTAAAATGTTGTATAAAATTACCTTCAAGCTATGTGTATGAGGTATATATGAAACATAACTTTATGTTTAGACCTGGGTCCCATCCCCAAGATATCTCATTATGTATATGCAAATATTCCAAAATTTTAAAAAAATCTGAAATTCTAAATACTTCTGGTCCCAAGCATTTTGGAAAAGGGATACTCAACTAGTATTATTATTCCCATTTTATAGATGAGGAAAGTGAGGCATGTAAGGTTAAGTAAGTAGACCAAAATTATACAGCTAGTATGTGGGATGGCCAGGATGCTGACCAGACAGCCTGCCATCAGTCCATGCTCTTAACCACGCTGCTCTACTGCCTGCTTAAGTGAGAGTTAAGTAGTTTTGAGGGAAAAAATACTCCAGCTTGCCTTTATAAAATTCCAGAGATCAAACATGTAGTTATATTGTAGATTAGGGGGAAAATAAGTGGTATCTATAATAAAAAGTGCTCCTGGAAGACATAGCAAGCAGGTCTTTTCTGCCATCCAGGTTACCCTGGAATCCCACTTTCCAATATTCCATTTCACACAATAAAAACACCTGTAATCCTAGCACTTTGAGAGGCCGAGGTGAGCAGTTTCCCTGAGCTCAGGAGTTTGAGACCAGCCTGGGCAACACGGTGAAACCCCGTCTCTACTAAAATACAAAAAATTAGCCTGGCGTGGCATCATGCACCTGTAGTCCCAGCTACTTGGGAGGCTGAGGCAGGAGAATTGCTTGAACCCAGGAGGCGGAGATTGCAGTGAGCCGAGATTGTGCCACTGCACTCCAGCCCGGGCAACAGAGCAAGACGCCATCTCCCAAAAAAAAAAGACAAATGAATGCTTTAGGAATCTAAATGCAATACAGTCTTATGACATTTTGCCAATGAATTGTGATTTTTTTTTAAAAAAGATGAAAGCTGAAAAGGTCATCCAGTTCCAGTTTTGCAAACTGCAGGCTGCCATTCACTTGTGAAAAGCATTTTAAAAAATAGATTGCAGGCTAGGTGCAGTGGCTCACACCTGTAATCCCAGCACTTTGGGAGGCCGAGGCAGGTGAATCACCTGAGATCAGGAGTTTGAGACCAGCCTGACCAACATGGAGAAACCCCATCTCTACTAAAAATACAAAGTAAGCCAGGCATGGTGGCACATGCCTGTAATCCCAGCTACTTGGAAGGCTGAGGTGGGAGAATTGCTTGAACCTGGGAGGTGGAGGTTGCAGTGAGCCGAGATTGCACTATTGCACTCCAGCCTGGGCAATAAGAGCGAAACTCCAGCTCAAAAAAAAAAAAAGGATTGTATAGAATGAATGTTATCAGAGTACATATTGATATTGTTTTATTTGTGACACTTTTATTTGTGTGCAAGATCATAACCTAAAATATGTTTCTCACTGTGGGTCACAAACAAAAACTTTGATATCTACTGATCTAGCCCACATTCATCTTCCAATAAGAGAGATGAGGACTGAATCTTCACTCAACAATGGCTTGTCCACTGGATTTTAAGCGCATCCGTAAAAATTCAATCCTCACACTTATCACTTACTTTGAAAGTTTTTATTGCCTTAGAGAAAATTCTGGGTTATATTTCATATAAAATTCTGGGTTATATTTAATACTGTTACTTACCTTTTTAATTCATTGCCTTGAAATGTCCTATTTTGTTATCACCTGAAACTATATAGTTTAAACTATAAGTGATTTATGGGTGAATACTTCCAAAAGGTAGAAAGTTTTTCAAGCAAAACAACTGCAACAGAATTAAAAAGGATTACCAGAAATCATCCAGTCCCTTGCTATTCAAAGTGTGGGCCACAGACTGGCAGAATCGGCACCACCTGAAGCAGAAACTCAGGTTGCACTCCACGCCTACTCAGTCAGAATCCGTGTTTTCACAAGATCCCCAGCTCATAGTTATGCACTGACCTCAGCTTTGTCCTCCTTACAAGTCAGGACTTTTGGTATCAGCAGGGGGAATAATGTTCATCAACTTAGATTTCATAGAACTTCCCCCAAACTAGAAAATGGCAAAAGAGAATAGTGAGTACACATTATATCTTGTCTTACATTTTGAGAGATATTCATATGTGTGTATCTATCTCTCTATATGTAGATATACACATATGTATACACACACACCAACTAGTTTATCTGTTCATGCCTATTTCATATCTGTTTTTCCAGTCCTTAGTGCAAATGTGTAAGAAAAACAGAAGTTGTCTGAAGCAAGCCTTCAGCTTTAGATCAACATGTGTATTAGTTCATTTTCTTTTTTTTTTTTTTTTTTTGAGTCTCGCTCTGTCACCCAGGCTGGAGGGCAGTGGCGTGATCTCGGCTTACTGCAAGCTCTGCCTCCCGGGTTCACACCATTCTCCCACCTCAGCCTCCCAAGTAGCTGGGACTACAGGCACCCGCCACCACGCCCGGCTAATTTTGTTTTTGTATTTTAAGTAGAGATGGGGTTTCACCCTGTTAGCCAGGCTGGTCTCAGCTAGTCTCAGTCTCCTGACCTTGTGATCCGCCCGCCTCGGCCTCCCAAAGTGCTGGGATTACAGGCGTGAGCCACGGCGCCCAGCCTATTAGTTCGTTTTCATGCAGCTTATAAAGACATACCTGAGACTGGGCAATTTACAAAAGAAAGAGGTTTAATGGACTCACAGTTCCACACGGCTGAAGAGGCCTCACAATCATGGTGGAAGGTGAAAGGTGCATCTCACATGGTGGCAGACAAGGAAGAGGGCTTGTGCAGGAAGATTCCCCTTTATAAAACCATCAGATCCTGGCTAGGCATGGTGGCTCATGCCTGTAAGCCCAGCACTTTGGGAGGCTGAGGTGGGAGGATCATTCGAGGTCAGGAGTTCGACACCGGCCTGGCTAACATGGTGAAACCCTATTTCTACTAAAAATACAAAAAATTAGCCAGGCACGGTGGCATGTGTCTGTAATCACAGCTACTCAGGAATCTGAAGCAGGAGAATTGCTTGAACCCGAGGCGGAGGTTGCAGTGAGCCGAGGTTGTGCCACTGCACTCCAGTTGGGGAACAAGAGCCAAGCTTCATCTCAAAAAAAAAGAAAAAAAAAAAAACCATCAGCTCTTGTGAGCCTTATTCACTATCATGAGAATAGTAAGGGAAAGACCCACCCCTGTGATTCAATTACCTCCCACCAGGTCCTTCCCACAACATGTGGAAATTGCGGGAGCTACAATTCAAGATGAGATTTGGGTGGGAACACAGCCAAACCATGTCAGCATGGTTATTTATATGGTCATCCTCTGGTCACCTCACTTACTACTCACACTTTTCACCTATTTGCCTACCCACTCCAACTCACCTCCCTATTCCTTCCCACCTCCCTTCCCTTTCTCTGTCTACTTTCTAGTGTTTTCTCTCTCAACCCAAGCAAAGCATTAACTTCTTGCCCATTCCGTTCTTAGAAGTGTGCCTCTACATGTATTTGTGTGTATGAATGTATCCTTATTAATTTGGAACTATGAGAGATCTAATGAAATTTATAGTGTAATGAAATGTAATGATAAATTTCACTTCAAAGTGCACTACTGAGTTCAAAGCAATGATCTAGGAAATACCGGGGATGGGGGGAGGCCGGAGGGAGGAAAGAAGACATTATCCCTTTTATATTTTTTACAATCTCATGGTGCAGAGAAGTATGAGATGTCTTATGTAGAAATGCAGATGCTATGTTATGGAAGTATAGAAGAAGTAGAAGCAGAATTCATGTTGAGTGGGGATGAAAAAAGAGAAAGCTTCCCAAAGGATGTGGTCTTGCATTGGTATTTTAAGAATAAATGGCATTTCCAGCTGGGTACAGTGTCTCACACCTGTAATCCCAGCACTTTGGGAGGCCGAGGCTAGTGGATCACTTGAGGTCAGGAGTTCAAGACCAGCCTGGCCAACATGGTGAAACCCTGTCTCTAATAAAAATACAAAAATCAGCTGGGCCTGGTGGTGGGTGCCTGTAATCCCAGCTACTCGGGAGGCTGAGGCAGGAGAATCGCTTGAGCCTGGGAGGTGGAGGTTGAAGTGAACTGAGACCATGCCACTGCACTCCAGTCTGGGCAACGGAGTGAGACTCTGTATCAAAAATAATAATAATAATAAATAAATAAATGGCATTTCCATAGATGGAGAAAGGAGAAGTGAGAAAAAGAAAAGGCATTTCAAGTGAGCATGGTACACGTTCTCAGGAAACAATCAGTATCACAGAGCACGTGAGGATGAAATTGAAGAAACAGACAGAGCCCACTTAGAGAAACTTACATGTCATGCTTGGGCACTAGGTTCAATTGTAGAGTAAAGGGAACCCAGTCTTATTATATCCAACCAGTTATTTCTTCTCCCAAACACAGCAAGAGCAATTTTGTTTTGAAATGCAGAGCTGAGAATGTACTGCCTATCCCATCTACCCTGCCTTCCATCGGCCTTTTTTTTACCAGCTCCCACTTTCTAAAGTAAAATAGCAACACTCCCCCTGATCTCCTTACTATGGAATCTTCCTTGTCTTTCACTTATCCTTTCTGGATGCAGAGTGGTGCACCTGCTGCTTTCTGTGTGTGCAATGCTCCTCCTCCACCAGCCTACCCCTCTCTTCAGCTGGTTAGCACCGTCCACCAAGTTCAGGTCATCTCAGCCCAAATATTGCTTTCTAACTTAGCTGGCTAAATTAGGTTAACATATTCATATAATTAAGATATTCACATAGAGTACCCTTTCAAAACACATATCACAGTTCATAATTTTTTTTAAATTATTTTTTGTGACAGGGTCTCCCTCTGTTGCCCAAGCTGGAGTGCAGTGATGCAATCTCAGCTCACTGCAACCTCCGCCTCCCAGGTTCAAGCAATTCTTGTCCCTCAGCCTCCGGAGTAGCTGGAATTACAGGCACATGCCATCACACTCAGCTAATTTTTGTATTTTTAGAAGAGACGGGTTTCACCATGTTGGTCAGGTTGGTCTCAAACTCCTGACCTCAAGTGATCCACACCTGCCTCCCAGCCTCCCAAAGTGCTGGGATTATAGGGTGTGAGCCACCGTGCCCGGCCTACAGTTCATAATTAAATACTTACTAACCTCTTCATTTGGTGAAAGTCTGTTCTCCAATAAGACCATAAACTCCCTAAAGACAGAGATATTTTATGGTTTGGATGTCTCCTCCAAAAGTCACATTGAAATTTAATTGCCACCGTAACAGTATTAAGAGGTGGGACCTTTAAGAGGTGATAGAGGCTCTGCCCTCATAAATAGATTAATGCCATTCCCTTGGGAGTGGGTTAGGAGTGAGTTCCAGATAAAATGAGTTCGACCCCCTTTCCTCTGCTCTCTCATGGTCTCTTGCCCTTCCAGCTTCCACTGTGGGTGACACAGCAAGAAAGCGCTTATCAGATGATCAGCCCCTTGACCTTAAACTCCCTAGCCTCCAGAGCCATAAAAAATACATTTCTTTTCCTTATCAATGACCCAAACTGTGGTATTCAGTTATAGGAGCATAAAACAGACTAAGATAGGAGATAATGTGTTTAGCTTAAAATGGGATTCCCACCACTTAACACTTTGTCTGTCACATGGTTTGCTGAATGAATGAGTAGGAATGACATAATTTGGACTGAGATTTGGCAGATGAATCAGAAGAGACTGGAGGCTATAAGTGTGCTTGCTCACAAGAATATATGGTGGGGAGGCTGTGTTGAAGAAAGGCATAGTATTACAAATTTCTTATTTCTTTTTTTTTTTTTTTTAGAGATGGAATCTCACTCTGTCGCCCTCAGGCTGGAGTGCAGTGGCAAGATCTTGGCTCACTGCAAGCTCCGCCTCCCAAGTTCACGCCATTCTCCTGCCTCAGCCTCCCAAGTAGCTGGGATTACAGGTGCCTGCCACCATGCCCGGCTAATTTTTGTATTTTTAGTAGAGAAAGGGTTTCACTGTGTTAGCCAGGATGGTCTCGATCTCCTGACCTCGTGATCCGCCTGCCTTGGCCTCCCAAAGTGCTGGGATTACAGGCGTGAGCCACCGCGTCTGGCCTACAAATTTCTCATTTTCATTAAGCCCATTTCTACTTTTTCCATGTGTAAACTATACACACATTAATGACTATATGTGCATGTATATGTCTTTCTAGGGGATCTGCAGGAGACAAATACCACTGGTGCATGGATAGTTTGTCAGAAGGCCATTTGCTTAAAGGAGAGGCTTCTTTTAGTACAGATTTTAAATAACATTCTCCAAATCCTATATTTAAGACACAAGTCAGAATGATCACATTGGCATAAATCACCTGCATTTATCAGAAGTGTATATAGTTTCTCCAGCAGAGGGTGCTAAAATATAAATTTGACACAGTGAAGCTCAGCATAAATTTATTCAATAGATTTGTCAGCTCAGTCTTTATTGTCAGGTTCTTGTAGCAAATCTAACCAAAAAGGGCCAGTCTTGTAGATTATGAGCATGGGAAGTCTTAGAACCAAAGTTTTACAAATGTGAAATTTTTAGTATTAAATCTTAAATACGAGGGCAATTTCCTCCAAGTTAGCTTGCTATAATACTTTGTAAAACTTTTAGTTAATGTTTTTTGGGGAAAGAACTTGTTACAAGGGGCTATATTATGTGTTATATACATAATATTTATATATTATGATTATAATGTAAGTCATCAAAGGACTGGAAAATAAGCCTTTTTAGAAAGATGGGCAAAATTATCATTAGTCCCTCCAATTTGTAGAGGGTGAGCGTTTTATCACACTCATCAAGACAAAATCCTTTCTCAAGTTATAGAGGCTCATTTTAATCCTCAGAAGCCTTTTTAAAAACCCTATATTTCAGTCAAATGAGGCTAGGTAATGCTGCAGTAACATTCCACCTCAAAGTTTCAGTCACTTAAAACATCCAGGGTTGATTTCCACCTTGTGCTGCATATCTATCACAGAGTTGGCTGGGGGATCTACCAGGTGAATCAGACCGAAGGAGCAGCCGTCACCCCAAAAGTCACCAGTTACTGTGGCAAAGGGACAGCAAAGCACAGGCAATCATGCGTTGGCTCCCAAAGTTTGTCTGGAGGTGGCATCCACTTCCTTCACTCACACTGTCTTAACTATACAGTAAATCACATGCCCACATCTAACTTCTAGAGTTCAGGAAATATACTACTATTGTGAATTTGGAGGAAAACCAGAAATATTTAATGGACAGCACTAAGAACTATTACATGTTATAAATGTGATAAGAAGAAAATAAAACATGTAAGTGTAAACATTAAAAAAATCTCATTGGAAATAATATAGCAACATTGATTTATACGTTATCCTTATATCTTTGAAGTGAGGGCCTGTAGGCTTATTATTAACTCAACTTTCATCCTTAGTCACAAGAGTTGCTAGCACGGATAATGAAAATACTTTGCTTTTGAATTCATTACTACATACTGTTTGGAGGGGAGGAGTGGGTAGTCGATTTACTCCTCTACTTAGGTTTGTCTTTGATTAATGTTAAACCTGCTTGACTTTCCTGAGAACATAACTGCAAGATGTGCGAGGAGGCAGGTGGGAGACACTAGGCTTGGGAAAAGGTCAGGCAGCCTGAGCTTCTGCTGCTGACAGGTGACAAAACAGAAATGAAAACCTTGCTGCTTAGCACGCCCTTTTTGCTTAGCCTCGTAAAGCCAGAGAAGCAGGTTTTTCTAATAAAGATGTAAAATGAAGTAAGTAGTCCCTCCAAGTACTAGAAAGGAGAGCCTTGCTTCTTAGCACACCCAAAAGGAATCTCAGATGGATCTGCCACTAAGCACAGAGTTTGGTCACCTTGTGCAGTGATAGCTGCTCACTGCTCACCAAGAACAATGCAGGGTTGCAGTCAGGTTGTAATCAGAGAGGCACAAAACAGGTTATCTTGGGAACCGAGGCTTTCCTGCCAAGATAGACCTGGCAAGCTGCCTGACCTAAACAGATAATGGCAGTTAATACAGGTGGACAACATGACCTTAACATCAGCACTCCAACCTGGATCCTGCCTGGAAAGGCAGTGAAGGCAGGGTCAGAGTTTAGTTCCTATCTGTCTGTGTCGCAAGTTGCTGAGCTGGGGAGAAAGCTTTAATGAATGCTTTGTGCATTTCCACGTAGTCAATTGGGAGAAAGAGAAGCCCCAAAGGAACTTCATTAGAATGTGGTATCACACTTTAATACTCATCATCTTCAATCCTCATCCACCTACACTTTGCTAATATCCTTCTCATCATTCAAGGGCCTTGCAGCTCCCACATTCTCCAAAATGCCTTCCCTAGACCCCCAAATTAGAATGACCTTTCTGCCTCCATCACTTTCTGTCTACAGCTCTACTACAGACTCCCGACAGCCCACTTTTTATTCAATCTGCTTTTGTATCTGTCTGTCTCCCGCCACCAACCTTTGGCCTGTGAGCATCTGGAAGGCAGAGATCAAACATCATTTATCTATGGATTTTGCTCAGCTCCTACCCAGTTCCATGTACACAGAAAGTTTGTTGATTTAGATTGACCACATGGCCATTTTATGACAGCATTCAATTTTTTTTTTGTTAACCTAGGAAAAATTTCAAACACCCATGAAAGTACTGAGAATAACATAGCACTCACTCAGCATGGCATTAACTTCTAATACGTTTACTCAGGCAGCGGAGCCTAGAGGTTGAGAACATGAACTCTGGAGTCAGAATGACGTGGTTCAGCTCTGTTTCTTATTACTTCACCTCTGGAAGTCTCAAATGGGAGAGTTTTTCTATCTGTAAAATTGGGCTGAGGGTTATTACACAGATTAACTGAGATAATATATGCAAAGCACTATGAGTGCTTGGTTCATAAAAAGGCCTCAAAAGGCAGCTACTATTAGTATCACATGTATTACCATAAACTCTTGAGACTGAGCTTACGGTCCATACAAAAAGGGACCATATATCCAAGCACAGTAATCACAAAAGTTGAAAATTATACGGATTAAAAACTATCTGATGAGAAAAAAAGAAGCTAAAGATCAAAAGAAAATTAAGAGACATATCAATCAATTACAATTATAGGCCCTTATATAGATCCTGTTTCAAATTAAGTAAACACTGACTTTATTTGATGTTATTGGGAATTACTGTTAACTTTTAAAGGTGTAATAATGGTATTGTGGTTATGGCTTTTAAAAGCAAGGGTCCTTACTTTTGAAAGATACAGCACATCCTGATATGTTTACAGATAAAAATATGGCATATGGGATTTGCTTTGGAATAATATAGGAAATACAGTATTTCCTATTTTTAAATAATACAGGAAATAACTGGGGGGTTTAGATAAATCTAAGTTAATTGTTGAGTTGGTGTCTTAGTTCAGGCTGCTATAACAAAATACCACAAATTGAGTGGGTTACAAACAACACAAATTTACTTCTCATAGTCCTGGAGACTGGGAAGTCCAAGATCAAGCATCTTCAGATTCTGTGTCTGGTGAGAGCCCATTTCCAAGTTCACAGATGGCACCTTTTAGCTGAGTTCTCACATGGCAAAAGGAGTGAGCTTAGCTCTGTCGGGTCTCTTTATAAGGACACGAATCCCAATCATGAGGGCAGAGCCCTTATTATCTAATCACCTCCCAAAGGCTCCACCCTCCATGGCAGTTAGAACTTCAGCACGTGAATTGTGGGGGAATACCTTTCTGAATATATTGTTGTGGGTCCGTTTGCCTATGGGAAGCAGTCTCTGAAATGGAGAACATTTACTGGGGAGTGCTCTTGGGATCAATGTCTGTGAGGGAGTGAGGAAGCAGGACTGGCCAGTGGGGGCGGGACTCATTTCGTCCTATGGGGTGCTCCAGAAGTGGCATAGGGAGCTGGGCCTTTCTACCCTCACATGACCAGTCACCAGATAAGAGCATAACCAGGATAAAAGAGGTGGTGTAACTTCCATCAAGGCAGCAAGGCTCTCCTTTGGCCTAGGACAAGTCCAGAAACACACTTAGCTATCTGAAGTCAAGACTGCAGCAACTGGCAAAATAAGTAGCTGAATAATGATGAATATTAGTAGCAAAAGACTTTACTTATTCAAACTGAAGTACAATAATTACATTTTAAATATCCTTAATAAAGATTGCCTGACAGCAGATATTTTATTTTTGTATGTATTTCGGGAAGTCATCTTTCTTTCCATTACTCTATCTCAGTTACTAGCTTGAGGGAAAACATCATTCTATAAAACAAGTGCAAGTGACTGAGCCACGGATGCACATGCTTCCTTAGGTTGACAAATAGCTTTCTCTTGAAACCTTCTTTGAGAAAAAGCTAGAGGAAGTAAATAAAAACATTGAAAATTCCTGGATAGCCACCTTAATGAACACATTATCTCAGCCAGTTTTGTTTTCTCCTAAGGCTGACTGGCAGGCTTCTGATTCTATCGCACAAGGGAGTCTCTTCTTGCTAATCCCAGAAACAATGCCGGGGCCATCTGTGTGCATCACCAGCTACAGGCTTGCAGCCAAAGAGGAGTGATTTAGTTCCCACTGAGGATGAAGCAGCATTTACTCTCTTTTGCCACAATATACAATACCATTTGAAATTTGAATGAAGAACAAATATTAAAAAAAAAAGGAAGGAGGAAAGATTTTGTTTTCACTGAATAAAAATGCTACTAGATCCTGAATATCTGAAGTCTTGGTGAGATTACCTGAACAGAAGTTGTAAGCTGTATTTCATGAAACTCTGCTAGTTGAATGTACATAGAGAAATTATTATTGCTAGTCCATACCATCAGCTAGTGGAGACTTATGAATCTCTCTTTTTTTTTTTTTTTTTTTCTGAGACAGAATCTCACTCTATTGCCCAGGCTGGAGTGCAACAGTGCAATCTCGGCTCACTGAAACCTCCATCTCTCAGGTTCAAGCAATTCTCCCGCCTAGCCTCCCAAGTGACTGGGATTATAGGCATAGGCCACCATGCCCAGCTAATTTTTGTATTTTTAGTAGAGGGGTTTCACCATGTTGGCCAGGTTGGTCTTGAACTCCTGACCTCAGGTGATCCACCCACCTCGGCCTCCCAAAGTGCTGGGATTACAGGCATGAGCCATCACGCCCAGCCCCCACTCCTTTTTTTTTGCGAGGGTCTCTGCGCTGTTGCCCAGGCTAGAGTGCAATGGTGCAGTCTTGGCTCACTACAACCTCTTCCTCCTGGGTTTAAGCAATTCTCCTGCCTCAGCCTCCCAAGTAGCTGGGATTATAGGCACGCGCCACCATACCTGGCTAATTTTTGTATGTTTAGTAGAGATGGTGTTTCACTATGTTGGCCAGGCTGGTCTCAAACTCCTGACCTCAAGTGATCCGCCCGCCTTGGCCTCCCAAAGCGCTGGGATTATAGGCGTGGGCCACCGCGCCTGGCCAGATACCTAAGAATCTTGATTTACCAGTGAGTACAAGAGCTAGCCCCACATCATTCCAAGTTTTTCACTTTTACCCAAAGGCATATCGAAAGATGGGGGAGCAGTTCAACCTGGGTGCAGGCCAAGGGGGTTCCTTGTTCATAAACAATATTTTTTAACTGCACTAAACATTTGTCTGGCTTTTCTTGCCACTATGTTAATAGGATCAGGAATCTGGGCAGCGATCAGCTGAGTGGTTCTTCTGCTTTGTGTGATATCAGCTAAGGTCGTTCCTGCAACTGAATTTAGTGGGTAGCTGGACTGGGATGGAAGGTCCAAGAAGGTTTCCCTCACATCTCTCATCTGGTGTTCCTTCATGTAGCGTTTCTCTCTTCATAGTGTATCTTACAACTCAGTAACTATGCTTGAGCTTCTTTACATTAAGGTGGCTGGCCTCCTCAAGAAAAAGCAAAAGCTGCCAGGACTCTTAAAGGCTAGACTCAGAACTTAACTTGCATGTAGTTACTTCTACCACAATCAATGGTCACAGCAAGTCACAAGATCAGCCCAAGTTTAAGGGGAATGAAAGTAGATTTTACCTCTTGATGTGCTTGCAGGGAGAAAGGGAATTAATGGCATTCATCTCTAGAGACTTATTTATCTCAAGTAAAATATTTGAAATCTCATGTAAACATGAGACAAACAAAAACTGAGAGAATTCATTACCTGAGACCTGTACTACAAAAAATAGTCAAGGAAATTCTACAGAGGAATATGATGCTAGGCAGAGAGTTGCATCTATGCAAAGAAATGCAGATCTCTAGAAATGGCTAAGCTGAAAGTAAAATCTCAAAAAAAAATTGTTTTAAGTTGTTCTAAAGATAACTTATTATCTGAAGCAAAAATAAGAGTAATGAATTATATAGTATTATGGCACATAAAAAGTAAAATGCATGCCAACAATACCACAAAAGGTAGAACTGGAGAATTGGGAATATACTGTGGTAAATTTTTTATGCCATATGAGAAGCCATATAACACTATTTGAAGGTAGACTGAGATTAAAGATGAAGGCAACTTAAGTATATAGAAGACCAAATATCACAAACAAGCGTGACTTAGCTGACACTGGGTGAAACCAACATTCCACCCAATAACAGCAGAATACACATTCTTTTCAAGCACACACAGAACATTGTTCTGTTGTTTTCTGATAATGTCTTTGTCTGATTTCGGTATTGAGATAAAGCTGGCCTCAGTAATGAGTTGGATAGTCCTCCCTCCTCTTCTATTTTCTGGAGGAGTTTATGTAGAATTCATGTTATTTCTTCTTTAAAAAAATTTAGCAGTACATATATTTGAAATCATATGAGCCAGAAGTTTCTTTCTTAGAAAAATGTAAAATATGAATTCAACTTCTTTAATAGACATAGAACCATTCAAGTCATTTATTTTTTTTTGAGTGAGCTTTGGTAATTTGTGTCTTTCAAATAGTTTGTCCATTTTATTGTCAAATTTGTTGGCATAAATTTGTTTATCCTATTCCCTTATTGTCCTTTAAGTGTCTGTAGCATCTCAAGTAATGTCTTTTCTTTCATTTTTAATACAGACACACTATATTTTATTGCACAAAGAGATACCTGGGAAACCCCCAAATCTTTAGAAATGAAAAGACACACTTCTAAATAACACATGGGTCAAAGAGGAAATCAGAGAAAATAGAAAATATCTTGAATTAAATAAAAATGAAATAAAAACATGTCAAAATGTGTGAAATGTAGCTAAAATAATGCTTAGAGGAAAATTTAATCAACGAAATTTACCAAATCCACAAACTAAATAAGAAAAAAAGTGTATGATTACCTTACTAGACCACAGTAAAGGCATTTGACCAAATTTAACATCCATATATAACAATAAAAAAAATTATCGGCAAACTAGAAAAAGAAGAGAATTTCTTCTTTTTTTTTTTTTCCGAGATGGAGTTTCGCTCTTTTTACCCAGGCTGGGGTGCAATGGTGTGATCTCAACTCACTGCAACCTCTGCCTCCTGGGTTCAAAACGACTCTCCTGCCTCAGCCTCCCAAGTAGCTGAGATTACAGGCGCCCACCACCACACCCAGCTAATTTTTTTATATTTTTAGTAGAGATGAGGTTTCATGTTGGCCAGGCTGGCCTCAAACTCGTGACCTCCGGTGATCCACCCACCTCAGGCTCCCAAAGTGCTGGGATTACAGGTGTGAGCCACCATGCCCAGCCAAAGAAGGGAACTTCTTTGACCTGCTAAAGGATGTCTACAAAACAAACACAACCCTACAACCATCATCATAATGACTGGTGAAAGGCAAAGCTTTCTGCCTAAGATGAGGAACAACCACTGGATGTCTGCTCTCACTATTCCTATTCAACATCGTATTGGAGGCCCAAGTCAGCTGAATGAGTTAGGAAAAGTAAAAAAAGGCATACATATGGGAAAGGAAAAACAACCGTCTCTATTCACAGATGACCTGATTGTTTATGTAGAAAATCTCCAAGTATCTACCAAAAAGCTTCTGGAACGAATAAGTAAGTTTAGCAATATCACAAGGTAGAATGTCAATATATAAAAATTCATTGTAATTCTATGTGTAGCAACAACCACACATTGAAATTTTAAAAATATCATTTACAATAGCATCAAAAAACATGAAATACTTAGGTAGAAATTTAACGAAATCTATGGAAGATATGCCTAGAATTACAAAACAGTGCTGAAAGAAGTCTAAGAAGATTTAAACAATGGATAAATACACCAGTATGTAGATTGGAAAACTCAATGTTGTGAAGATGTCACTTCTTCCTAAGTTGTCCTACAGATTTAACACAATCTCAGCCACACTTTCTCTAGGATTTTTTGTGGAATGTTGACACGTTGATTCTAAAATGTATATGGGAAAGCAAAGAAGTTGGAATACCCAAAACAGTTTTGAAAAACTGGAAAATTTACAAAACTTGATTTTAAGACTTACTATAAAGAAACAGTAATCAAGACAATGTGGTATTGGTGAAAAGGTAGACACATAGATCAATGGAACAGAATAGAAAGTCTAGAGATAGACCCATACATATATGGTCAACTAATTTTTGACAAAGATACAAAGGCAATTAAAAAATAATAGACTTGCTGAGGCAGGTGGGTCACCTGAGGTCAGGTGTTCAAGATTAGCCTGGCCAAAATGGCAAAACCCCGTCTCTACTGAAAATACAAAAATTAGCCCGGCATGGTGGTGCATGCCTGTAATCCCAGCTACTCCGGAGGCTGAGGCAGGAGAATCACTTGAACCCAGGAGGCAGAGGTTGCAGTGAGCCGAGATTGCACCATTGCACTCCATCCTGAGCAACATAGCAAGATTCTGTCTCAAAGAAAAAAATTAGTTTTTCAACAAATGGTACTATAACAATTGAATACTTGTATACAAAAGAAAAAAAAAAAAGAACTTTGACCCATCCCTTACACCATATACAAAAATTAACTGAAAATGAATCATATAGATGTAAATGTAATACCTAATGCTACAAAATTTCTAGAAGAAAATACACGAATAAAATCTTTGTGACCTTGGGAAGCAAATATTTCTTGTATACAACACAGAAAGCACAATTCATTTAAAAAAAACCAGCTTGAACTATATCAAAACTAAGAACTTTTCTTTGAAAGGCTTTGTTAAGAGAAAGAAAAAACAGGCCATAGACTAGAAGAAAATATTTGTAACATGCATATCTGATAAAGGACTTGTATCCAGAGTATATGAAGAACTCTCAAACCTCAATAAGAAAGAAAATAATAACAAATGGGCCAAAAATTTGAAGAGATTCTTTGCTGAAGAAGACACACACTAGTGGCAAATACTACACACATGAAACGAGCTCAAAAATACCTGTTGAATAAATGAATTAATGAATGAGTTTTGGTCTTGCCAAAGGTACCCCACTACTTGATTAACTCTTTAGAATTCATTTTGATGATTAGTAATTAGAGCAAGTGAAAATTATTCCATTACAAATATACATAGTAAAGTCAGATAAAAAATAAGTTATATGGACTTCTATCTTATGTTCCTTCCTTCTAGTAGGGCAAGTAATTTTTTTTTTTTTTTTTTTTTTGAGATGGAGTCTTGCGCTGTCACCCAGACTGGAGTGCAGTGGCGCGATCTCGGCTCACTGCAAGCTCCGCCTCCCTCGTTCACGTCATTCTCCTGCTTCAGCCTCCCAAGTAGCTGGGACTACAGGCGCCCGCCACTACGCCCGGCTAATTTTTGTGTATTTTTAGTAGAGACGGGGTTTCCCCGTGTTAGCCAGGACGGTCTCGATCTCCTGACCTCGTGATCCGCCTGTCTCGGCCTCCCAAAGTGCCGGGATTACAGACATGAGCCACCGGGCCCGGCCCATGGGCAAGTAATTTTTTTAAAGTTATCTGCATTAAGATAAACACAAGAAGGCCAGGCGCGGTTGCTCACACCTGTAATCCCAGCACTTTGGGAGGCCGAGGCGGACGGATCACGAGGTCAGGAGATGGAGACCTTCCTGCCTAACACGGTGAAACCCAGGCTCTACTAAAAATACAAAAACAAAATTAGCTGGGCGTGGTGGCGGGTGCCTGCAGTCCCAGCTACTTGGGAGGCTGAGGCAGGAGAATGGCGTGAACCCGGGAGGCGGAGCTTGCAGCGAGCCCAGATCCCACCACTGCACTCCAGCCTGGGCGACAGAGCGAGACGCTGTCTCAAAAAAAAAAAAAAAAAAAAAAAAGATAAACACAAGAAGATATGCCACAGGACTTCACAGGACTTCTTACGGTATTTCTTTTTTTCTTTTTTTTTTGAGACAAAGTCTTGCTCTGTTGCCTAGGCTGGAGTGCAGTGGCATGATCTCGGCTCACTGCAACCTCCACCTCCCAGGTTCAAGCGAGTCTCCCGCCTCAGCCTCCCGAGTAGCTGGGACTATAGGCGCGCCACCACGCCAGGCTAATTTTTGTATTTTTAGTTGAAATAGGGTTTCACCATGTTGTCCAGGATGGTCTCGATCTCCTGACCTTGTGTTCCGCCCTCCTCGGCCTCCCAAAGTGCTGGGATTACAGGCATGAGCCACTAAGCCCGGCCTCTTATGGTATTTCTAAATATAAAATGATACTATAGTGCAAAGTTCAATGGAGTCAAACAATTTAGTAACGGTCAATTTGATGTGGTCCCTGTCCTAAGCTTTCTGAAGACCTGGCTTAATGCAGGGATGGACTTAGCCTATGTAGATAAGATTACAAAAATGACAAGTCCCCATTAAAATATTCCTCTCTCAGACTTGGTGGATACTCAGTATCAGTGAGTTCAAGATAATTCTAACAGACAAATACTCAGAATATAGATGGATATCTATTAATGACCTTAATAAGGAAATGTGTCTGAGATTATTACTCAAATACCACAACTTGGCTACAGAATGAGTTTGTGCTTTGTTTCAATGCTAAGAGTTAATTTCCTTGGTTCTCTTTCTCAACACTAAGTTGGGTGCAGTGACTCATGCCCATAATTCCAGCTACTCAGGAGGTAGTACTGAATTTGTGGAAAGTATTAAAAGTTGCTCTCGGCTGGGCACAGTGGCTCACGCTTGTAATCCCAGTACTTTGGGAGGCCGAGGTGGGTGGATCACGAGGTCAGGAGATCGATACCATCCTGGCTAACATGGTGAAACCCCATCTCTACAAAAAATTAGCTGGGCGTGGTGGCGGGCACCTATGGTCCCAGCCACTCGGGAGACTGAGGCAGGAGAATGGCGTGAACCCAGGAGGCGGAGCTTGCAGTGAGACAAGATCGCGCCACTGCACTCCAGCCCAGGCGACAGAGCGAGACTCTGTCTCAAAAAAAAATTTTAAAAAGTTGCTCTTACATTTATTTTTCTTGAAGATTGATGATATTTAGAGCCCTTTGAGATTATGTACTTGGTCTCCATTGTGTCATATTTTAAATTTTAATTTTCAGCCTATCTTCTGGCAGAGTAAGAATCTTGAATAGTCTCATTAAAACATGGATTGGGTTTTCTTTCCATTTATTTATTTTTTCTTTTTCCTAAAGTGGAATAAAGGGTATTGTATTGACCTGTTCCCCAGCCAGTTCCAAAGGCTATCGGTTTGCTTTAAAGTGTTTCTGGCTGGGCACAGTGACTCTCACCTGTAATCCCAGCACTTTGGGAGGTCGAGGCGGGTGGATCATCTGAGGTCAGGAGTTCAAGAACATCCTGGTCAACATGGCGAAACCCCATCTCTACTAACAATACTAAAAGGCCGGGCGCGGTGGCTCATGCCTGTAATCCCAGCACTTTGAGAGGCCGAGGCGGGTGGATCACGAGGTCAGGAGATTGAGACCATCCTGGCTAACACGGTGAAACCCCGTCTCTACTAAAAATACAAAAAAATCAGCTGGACGTGGTGGCAGGTGCCTGTAGTCCCAGCTACTCGGGAGGCTGAGGCAGGAGAATGGCGTGAACCCGGGAGGTGGAGCTTGCAGTGAGCAGAGATCTGCCCACTGCACTCCAGCCCGGGTGACAGAGCAAGACTCTGTCTCAATAAATAAATAAATAAATAAATAAATAAATAAATAAATAAATAAATATAAAAATACTAAAAATTAGCTGGGTGTGGTGGGGGGGCACCTGTAATTCCAGCTACTTGGGAGGCTGAGGCAGGAAAATTGCTTGAACCTGGGAGACGGAGGTTGCAGTGAGCCGAGATCGTGCCATTGCACTCCAGCCTGGGCGACAGGGCAAGACTGTGTCTCAAATAAATAAATAAATAAAAAATAAAGTGTTTAAGAAATTCAGAGGTCGTCAGATCTTTGCATTTATAAGCATGTTCTGAGTACTGTTATGAGACAGCATGCTAAAGTTCCAAGATATAGTCTGGTTGATAGTCTATTTGTCTGGATGAGAAAACTATGTGTAACCACCAGCAGAAGTTCCCTTAGCAAGGTCCAAAGTTATGCAAAACTTGCTAGAGGCTGGAGGCAGGATGAGAGTTGTGGGAGCAGGGTGAGTCCAAAGTTGTATGGTAAAAGAGGCCATCCTCCAAATGTGAGGTCTTTAATCACATCTATGCATCCAAATTCAGGAATTTAGTGACTTCAGCTCACTGGAAATGATGGACTACAAATTGTTGCACCATGATGTCTAGCTATTGGTGCATTGCCTTTTATTTTACTATAATTAATTAATTTATGTTTAGAGTCAGGGCCTTGTTCTGGTGCCCAGGCTGGAGTGCAGTGGCAGAATCACAGCTCACAACAGCCTCGAACTCCTGGGCTCAAGCCACTCCCTGGTTGCCCACTGCCTCACACCCTCCTGAATAGCTGGGATTACAGGCATGAGCCACTGCATCCAGCTTGGTGCACTGCCTTTTAAAGCTGCAGATATTAATGTAAAAGAGCAGGTGAGCAAAGACTCAACTGGAAGTATCACCAAGCTTCATTCAATTTCACTACAGGAAGAATGATCAGGATAGGTACATATGAATTGAAGTGTGTGTCCTTTTAGGGACAAAAAATAGAGAAAAATGCAAATAAGCTAAATTTTCTTTCATTGGTAATACTTGGCCCCATTCTTACTAGCTAACCTTATCTTAGGCTCCAACATATGTAAGTTTCCTGGATATTAATTCCCAGCTCACTGAATTGTCGCTATTACTGGAATTCAACAGACCCTGTGGGTACTGGTCAGGCAGCAGTTTCTTCACTGCTAGTACCATGTTCAGTGTCACTATCAGAAACATGGAGAAAATATTAGAACCTACAAAACACAAGGTCCAAAGCAGCCACTGTGCTTAACAAATGTGATCGTTGTTTTTATTTTTGTGTTATTTAAATGTGTTTTATATATGTGTTGTATCTCTGTAATAGCTAGAACTGTGTGTCCAAAGTTTTTTGCAAACATCTTTTTTTTTTTTTTTTTTTTGAGATGGAGTCTCACTCCATCACCCAGGCTCGAGTACAGTGGCAAGATCTTGACTCACCACAACCTCTGCCTCCTGGGTTCAAGCGATTCTCCTGCCTCAGCCTCCCGAGTAGCAGGGATTACAGGTGCCTGCCACCACGCCTACCTAATTTTTGTATTTTTAGTAGAGACGGGGTTTCACCATGTTGGCCAGACTGGTCTCGAACTCCTGACCTCTGGTGATCTGCCCGCCTTGGCCTCCCAAAGTGCTGGGATTACAGATGTGAGTCACCGCGCCCAGCCTGCAAACATCTTATAACGGTGCAGGTCTCAAAAGGGTAATGACCACATTTGTTTCACAATATTGTTTATATAAATATATTATTAAATTGGCATTTAATCAGGGACTATATTTCCATTATCTAATAAAATAATATACTTTTCAAAGAGCTTTGAATCGGATAAAATTCTCTTTAGAATGTCATAGAAACCTCAGGTGGCATGGGGTAAATAACAAAAGGCCAGTTTGTCTCAAATATTTACCAAATGTCTACTGTGTGACAGAAACTAAAAAGGCAGTCAAAATTAACATTATAAGTAAAATACTGAACTAAGCTGAAGTACTGATGGAATTAATTGTAAATTTAACAGAATTAGTTAGGGATTGGACATAGACTATATTTTGTCCCAAGATTACTGTTACATGTACTTTTCCATCCAATTAGTTCAATGAGGTCACCAAACAAGATTTTAGACAAATTCTTCATGACTCACTCTCCTGAACTCTGACCTATCCCCTTGAAAACGATCAATCATGTTAAAGCCTTCTGTTAATTTTTTCCTTTTCAGAGTTTATATAAATAAAACGAATTCTTTGAAAGAGCCACTCTATTTTCAGGTAGAACATAAATGATATAAAAAACAAGTTGGGCAACAATGGTTAACATGGCATTATTGATCTTGGCAGTTAGCACGAGTATTTCTAAATGCTGTTTATTCTTCGCCTATCTCATATCTAAATTTTGAACTTGTTCTCTGCATTTTTATATTGTTTAATGAACCAGCTCTTTATTTTACAATTGGCATTTATCCTGCCTTTCCTATACAAACTATACCCCTTAGGTAACCAAAGAGTATATAGGGGATATTTTTCTTTAAAGTATTCTAGCTAATAAATGAAAAAGGAATGTAGAGCTAGAATACCACAGTTTTTTTCAGCCCCTAATGAATCACTGGATGTAGTACTGAGCATGCCTAAATATAGAAAGAGTGGACAATCAGATATTTTGTGCTTCCTGATAGAAAAGCACACCACACATGTATGGTATTTTTGCCAAAAAAATTCTCACCTGAATCTGATCAAACCTCTAGAGCCAGTTACCGATTTACAAACATACAGAATGCAGAGCACTTGTTAAGCTATGGCATTCCCATTGCAGGGATGCCATCAACAAAATCCAGACTATTGGAAATTCTACGGTACAAACAAATTACGAGAAAAAGAGATGAACAGATGTAGATATTAAAGGAGACTTAAAAGACACATCAAGCAACTGCAGTGTTAAAAAGAAAGACATAAACCTAATTGGAGAGCTGTATACTTATTTTATTTTTGTTTTGAGATGGAGTCTTGCTCTGTCGCCCAGGCTGGAGTGCAGTGGTGCCATCTTGGCTCACTGCAACCTCTGCCTCCCAGGTTCAAGCAATTCTCCTGTCTCAGCCTCCTGAGTAGCTGGGATTACAGGTGCCCAATACCACGCCCATTTAATTTTTGTATTTTTAGTAGAGATGGGGTTTCCCCATGTTAGACAGACTGGTCTCAAACTCCTGACCTCAGGTGATCCACCCAACTCGGCCTCCCAAAGTGCTGGGATTATTGGCATGAGCCACCGCACCTGGCCTACACTTATTATCTCTAAAGACATTAAGAAATCGGATTTTTAAGGTATTATAATGGTATTGTGATTGTGTTTTTTAAAAAAATCCTTGTCTTTAGAGATACATACTAAATTATTTATGGATAAATTATTATATCTGAGGTTTGCTTCAAAGTAATAGATGGAGGGAAAATAGGTAGGATATAGATGAAGCAAGATGGGTCATGAGTTGATAATTTTGAGGTAGATGATGAATGCATTGGGATTCATTATTATTCTGTCTTCTTTTGTATATGTTTGAAATGTTCTATAATTGAGAAAAATAAGTAAAATCACTGGAAGGCTCACACCTTATCTGCTCTTTAGACTTTAATACTAATAGCTGAAGGAAGACCAGTGACATACACTTGTATTTTCACTACTTGGGCAAACAATGCAGAAGAATTTCCCTTTCACTGTAACTGCAAAATTAACCTACAGATCTCTGAAGGCTGTCTTTAAGCCACTATGACAATCTTAATGAGCATAACATTTTGCTTCAACCCTACTCTTCTACCAATGCTGTAAAGCTCTCCTAGAGTCACGGTGGACCCATGTCATATAAGTGACTGACCCTCAATAAGTGAATAAATGACCTGAAGAAAGTGAATTTATCTGACAATTCTATAAAGATTCTTAAAGATAGGATTATTCAAAACAGCATGGTGTCCTGGAAAGAGTCCAACAGGCCTCAGGTTGAATCCTGGCTCTCCTACTTTCCAACTGCCTAACCATGTGACCCTGTGTACACTACTGAACGTCTCTGAGCCTGAGGTCCCTCACCTCTACAACGGGGCTAGTCACAGGACTATTGTGAGGATTAAATGAGCTACGTTGCAAGTTACCTAGCATAATTTTGGGCTTCTATTGGATACCCAATAGCTACCCGTAAATATCACATTTGAGCTTACAGAATGATGAAGTTATAAGCTGAGACTGCCTGCTGTGACTTCTGCACTAATTATAGGATGCCTTTAGTCAAAGCTTGTTCGACCCACAGCCCATGGGCCACATGCAGCCCAGGATGGCTTTGAATGTAAACTTTCCTAAAACATTATGGGATTATTTTGTGATTTTTTTTTTTTTTTAGCTCATCAGCTATCATTAGCGTTAGTATATTTTATGTATGGCCCAAGACCAATGTGGTCCACAGAAGTCAAAAGATTGGACACCCTGCTTTAGTCTCTGTTTCCTAGACATTGAAGAACTTGCTCAGGTTGTAACAATGCACATAATTGAGACCTGTACTCTTGAGTATCACTGAGACTCCTCATCTCTATTTCTTCTACAAGGTTAATCGACCAATTTACTAGAAAGATAAAATGTTAACTACATTGAGACTGTTCTTATTTTGTATCCTCATTTAATACCAATTAGGACAAATATAATAATGCATTAGCTATGTTTAAATAAGACTATATTTTCTGCTATTTTATTAGCCTGATGACTTCTTTTTTTTTTTTTTTTTTTGAGACGGAATTTCGCTCTTGTCGCCCAGACTGGAGTGCAATGGTGCGATCTCAGCTCACTGCAACCTCCCCCTCCTGGGTTCAAGCGATTCTCGTGCCTCAGCCTCCCGAGTAGCTGGGATTACAGGCACACACCACCACGCCCAGCTAATTTTTTTGTATTTTTAGTAGAGAAGGTGTTTCACCATGTTGGCCAGGCTGGTCTCAAACTCGTGATCTCGAGTGATCCACCCGCCTCAGCCTCCCAAAGTGCTGGGATTACAGGCATGAGCTACTGTGCCTGGCCACCTGATGACTTCTTAATACATTTAAATTCCTTGCTTTAGGGTGAAGTTGACAAAATTTTTGAGTAGATTATTTGTTGGCATACAGGGTTTTCATATTGAAGGCTTTTGTTCTTGATGACAATAGAAAGAAAATGCAGGACCAGTCAGTCTAAGGTGAAGCAAAGTCAAGGGAAGAGTCTACTAAATTTTGTGCATCCATGTAAATTTTATCACCAACTACATTCACAATAACATCTTCAATAATTTACAATAATGAAAAGAATTTGTGGTAGCACGAACTTGTAATCCTGGCTCCGCAGGATGCTAAGGCAGGAGGATCCCTTGAGCGCAGGAGTTCAGGACTCCATCTGGGCAACATAAGGAGATCCCATCTTGGCCAGGTGTGGTGGCTCACGCCTGTAATCCCAGCACTTTGGGAGGCCGAGGCAGGCAGATCCCTTGAGGCCGGGAGTTTGAGACCAGCCTGGCCAACATGGTGAAACCCCGTCTCTTCTAAAATACAAAAATTAGCCAGGCATGGTGGCATGCACCTGTAATCCTAGTATTTGGGAGGCTGAGGCAGGAGAATCACTTGAACACAGGAGGGAGAGGTTGCAGTGAGCTGAGATCGCACCACTGCACTCCAAGCTGAGCGACACAGCAAGACTCTGGATCAAAAAAAAAAAAAAAAAAGGAGATTCCCATCTCTAAAAAAAAAACCAACTTTACAATAATGTTGTAAAAATCATTTGTTACAGATCAGCCCAACTACAGGCCAAAAAATCATAGACTTCAAAATGATTAATTATGAGTTGCTAGTCTAGTCTCTTATTTACATTACTCTAATTCTAGCAGAAGAGGATGTGTGGCTTCACACTGCCACACCCCCCCACACTCACACTCACACAATCACACAATGGGGAATGGAAAGGGGGAGTCCATGCAGTGTGCCCTCCTTGAGACCTAAATGGTTGCATTTTTATCAGCATTTTCTCTCCTTCTTCAGTTGAATTCTAGGCTTCAAGTTTGCTGTAGAGTAGGTTTGCAACAAAAATAGGCTGGAGGACTACTGTGTGGGGTTAATCTTGGAGGGGTACACCTGGGAAAGGAACAGCCACTCTGTGGTATGGATTGGGATGGCTATCGCAGGTCATGCCGAGGGACTGCCTTCCTTGTGAAGTACACTATCCCACTTTATGCCCGTGCTACTTGCCATGAATACATTTTAAAAAAAAATTTAAAAAGAAATCAACAAAGACAATTTAAGTAAAATAGCATCTGTGAAAGACAAAATGGTAAAGTGCAAGAATGCGTAAATAAGATCAGTTAAGTGAGCATAACAAAAAGATGAAAGATAAAGTCCAATGGCTACAAGGGTACAAAGTAATGGCCCCCATTAGATTTTTTAAACTAGGATAACTGCAGCTGACCAGTAAACATCACATAAAAATGTTCTGCCAGGACCCGGATTCCTTAGGACTGAGGTCCTCAAAGGCATAGCAACAGAGCAGGGACCAGTGGCCATGGTGTCAACAAACACATGGATCTCTATCTATAGGATTTGGTCTGCATCCTCACTACAATCCCTGATGATTCACACTTTCCAGACACACTGGCTAACTTCCTGTTCCTCAAAGAAGCCTGATTTTTCTGTCTCGAAGTGTTTCCATTTGCTATCTTCTCCTGGAAGGATTTCCCCTAGATCTTCTCATGGCTTCATGGCTGGCTTGTTTTCATCAATGGATCTCAATTTAGATATTATGTGCTTAGAGGGGCCTTTCCTGACCATCCTATTTAGAGTGTTCTCCCCAAGGAAAGGACACCTACTTCAATAAAGGGTGCAGGAGAAACTGGATAACCATATGTCAGAGAATGAAACTGGACTCCTACCTCTCACCATGTACAAAAATTAACCAAGATGGATTAAAGACCTAAGTGTAAGACCTGAAACTTCAAAAATCCTAGAAGAAAACCTGGGAAAAAACTCTTTTAAAAGACACTGGCCTAGGCAAATAATTTATGACCAAGTCCTCAAAAGCAAACACAACAAAAACAAAAAATAGACAAATGGGACTTAATTAAACTAAAAGGCTTCTGCACTGCAAAAGAAATAACCAACAGATTAAACAGACAACCTACAAAATAGAAAAACAATTTGCAAACTATGCATCTGACAAAGGGCAAATATATAGAATCTACAAGGAAATCAAATAGCTCAAGAAGAAAAAACCAAATAATCCCATTTTAAAATGGACAGAAAATATGAACAGACTTTTTTTTTTTTTTTTGAGACAGAGTCTCACACTGCCACCCAGGCTGAAGTGCAATGGTGCAATCTCAGCTCACTGCAACCTCTACCTTCCAGGTTCACGTGATTTTCTTGCCTCAGCCTCCCAAGTAGCTAGGATTACAGGTGCACACCACAACACCCGGCTAATTTTTTGTCTTTTTAGTACAGACAGGGTTTCACTATGTTGGCCAGACTGGTCTCAAACTCCTGACCTCGTGATCCGCCCGCCTTGGCCTCCCAAAGTGCTGGGATCACAGGCATGAGCCACTACGCCCAGCCAACATTTTTCAAAAGAAGACATACGAGTGGCCACCAAACATGAAAAATGCCCAATATCACTAATCATCAGAGAAATGCATTTTAAAACCACAATGAGACATCATCTTACACCAGTCAGAATGGCCATTATTAAAAAGTCAAAAAACAACAGATTGGCAAAGATGTAGAGAAGGAAATGCTTATACATTGTTGGCGGGAATGTAAATTAGTACAGCCTTTATGGAAAACAGTATGGAGATTTCTCAAAGAACTAAAAATAGAACTACTATTTGATCCCTTAATCCCACTACTGGGTATATACCCAAAGGGAAAGAAATAATTATATCAAAAAGATACCTGCACTTGTATGTTCATCATAGCACTAATCATAATAGCAAAGATATGGGATCAACCTAAGTGTCCATCAATGGAGGACTAGATTAAGAAAATGTGTACACATACATGCACATACATACACACACCGTGGAATACCAGTCAGTCATAGAGAATGAAATCATGTGATTTGCGGCAACGTGGATGGCACTGGTGACTTTAACAGGTTGAAAAATTAGGAGGGTTGAAAAATTACCTATCAGGTAGTATACTATTTAGTGATGGGTACACTAAAAGCCCAGACTTCACCAATATGCGATATATGCATATAAGAAATCACACACCAAAATCTGTCGGGGTTGGGGGGTGATGGAAGGGAGAACATTAGAACAAATACCTACCTAATGCATGCGGGGCTTAAAATCTAGATGACGGGTTGAAGGGGCAGCAAACCACCATGGCACACGTATGCCTATTAACAAACCTGCACATTCTGCACATGTATCCCAGAACTTAAAGTAAAATAAAAAATTATAATAATAATTAAAAAAGAAATCTGTACTTGTATGCATTAAATATATAAAAATTAAAATACATAAAAAACTTAAAAAGCAAAAACCTAGAAAAATAAAGTGCTACCCCCAAGTCACTCTATCATCATACTGTTTCTTCATGACATTTCTCTATCTAGACTTATTGTCTTCTTCCTCTCGTTGAAATATGAGCTTCATAAAACAAGGGAAGTCACCTATATTGTTCCATACCATATTAATATCATCCAAGTTCTACAGAAATTGGCACTTTTTCTTGTAAAGGGCCAAATAGTAGCTATGTGGGGACTTGCAGACCATACAGTTGTGTCACAACTCTGCTGTCCTAACATGAGAGCACCCACAGACAATACGTAAACATAAGGACACAGTGGTATTCTAATACAAACTTTATTTACAAAAGCAGGCAACTGGCTGGATTTGTCCTGCCACTGTAGTTTGCCATCCTCTGCTCTAGAATGTTATACTAGAATATAGTACTCAGCATAATATTTTCAAATGAATTAACATAAACTTTATTTTAAACCTGGATTGATACAAGGTCATGATTGTCTCCTTGTTACTACATCCAATCAAATGACCAATATATACATATATTGCTTTGTCATAAATCCTTAGTCCTAACATATCGAGTGAAAGCTGCACTAAATTTGATGGAGGGAACTCAGTTTTTTCAATGTGCCTTCACTTGGGCTTAATCTTTACTCTTTATCTTACTATTTTTCATTTCTAAACTCATATAGGTGCAGAGCTTTCTTAACACAAAGCAGAGCCCATGGCCAAGGAAAGGACGTGATTTCCAGAGTCTGTTTCTACTACTACCCTAAAAGTACAAATACTTTGAAGAAATGTAGTAAACTGATTTAAAGTCATAATACATTGTAAGTGAGTATTTTTCTCAAGATAAAACACAAAGATGCTAGGTATATCAAAAGAAGGGATGCTTCAGAAGAGAACCACACTAAAAGGAGATTAAACTCCCCCCAAAACAAAGCTTGCCTACTTCATAATTTTGATGAGGGCTGGCAGACTAGCACTGCAGAGGCAGTAGAGACAATGAGAATACTCACCCAGGATTCAGGAGATCCAGGCTTTAGCACTGTCATCTATTAATCGGTCTTCTCTAACTCCTCTGAGACACACTTTCTGAACCTATAAAATCTACGATATGTGACAGAGGGAGAGAAAGAGCATCAGTCAGATCTCTATTTTTAGGTTTAAGATTCTTAGATTATGCTAATCATCACTTTATATAGCACCACATCCATGTAAGTACCTAACACACAATTAGTCTATGTTATTGTACACATGCTCAATATGGGCTTGCCGTACAGCTAAGAAACAGAGTCCAGCTTTTGTGTAATCCATACAAGAGAACAACGAAAGTAAATATTATAAAATCATGTAAGTGATGGCATGTTAAATTTTCCATTAAGTGGGAATTCATGTTATACCCAGTTAAGACCCTCTCCCAGTTATATCTGGTTAAGATATGTTTCCAGTCCTGTGTTTATACAGGTAGAACCACTTCCTTTTTTAAAAAAATTAATTAATTTATTTATTTTTGAGATGGAGTCTTGCCCTGTCACCCAGGCTGGAGTGCAATGGCGCTATCTCGGCTCACTGCAAGCTCCGCCTCCTGGGTTCAAACAATTCTCTTGCCTCAGCCTCCCAAGTAGCTGGGATTACAGGTGCCCGCCACCACGCCCAGCTAATTTTCATATTTTTAGTAGAGACGGGGTTTCACCATGTTGGCCAGGCTGGCCTCAAACTCCTGACCTTGTGATCCACCTGCCTCGGCCTCCCAAAGTGCTGGGATTACAGGCATAAGCCACCGCACCTGGCCACCACTTCCTTTTTCTATTTAATAAAATATTGGTGGGGAAAAAGACCCTCTGGCATTTGCCGTCTCATTTGTTCCTTTGTTGTAGTGATAAGGAAAGCCATAAAATAATATTTTAAGAAACAGATAAGATATAGATGACTTTTTAGATCTCCTTCTGGCCTTATGGGTTGATGTGTATTTTTAGAGAATAAAGGTAAAATAATGATTATCAGGCTAAATGGTAATGTGGAAGTATAGGGATAATTCAAAGTTTAAGAATTCCTTCCCCATGTTTACCTGGTGTGCTTTGCAAGGTTTAGATGACATCAATGATACAATTTTTGCAAGCAACAGCCGCAGGGTTCTTAGAGGTCGGTTGTCACTTAAAATTGTTTTTTCCCTTCATGTTGTTAGAAAAATAGACTAAAGCTTTCCCTGAATGGATAATGGAATTTAGTTTCTCAAAATATCATCCATGGACTGCCTGGCTGCACCAGTATCATTTGTGGTGCTTGTTCAAAATTCATATTCCTTAGAAATGGAGGTTTCACCACTTCAAGACCCATAGAGAGTCCATTATACTTTATGCAGGGTCAGAGATGCCTCTGGAATGAAGTAGATACTCCCGCAATGTGAAACTGATAGCAAATATTAAACCCAAAGCAAAACCAAAAAAAAATTCATATTCTTGGTCTGTACCTGAGGTCATCTTGATGGATCTCAAGTATCCCTGTATAGTATTAAACCCTCTGGTGCTACTTATACACAATAATGTCAAAAAATCACTATCTAGATTAAGAATTCACATTATACTGCATCAGATTAGTGATACAGTGAAATTCAGGTCCAGAGTTTTTATCATTCAATATCCAAAAGACGTGGAAGCTACTTTTATAGCTTTCAAATATAACACGTATCAAATAGAAGAAAGAACACAGGTAAAACAGAAAGAATAAAATCATTCCAAGGAAAAACAATATTTGGGGACTATTCGTGTGAATTTCCTTCAAGTCTCTCAATATCATAATATAGATCATCACAGGTTCTAAAAACTCCTAACAGCAGGGACTGTGTTTTTCTTCATCACTGTAACCCTAGCTGTTACCAAAACGCCTAGCACATAGTAGGCACTGAAATCTTTGCTGAGTGAACAAAGTAAGTGAAGCTGAAATCAAATTGTATCTTTGATTTGGGCCACACTTTTTTATAAAAATATGCCAGCATTAAATAGAATATCACTTTCTGATTCTCAAATGCATCAAATTGATAACAAATCAATAACTAGTACTTTTGTACCAGATATTTTTCTAGAGTTTTACCCATATTAATTTAACCCTAACAGCTACATGTAATGTTAAGTGCTATTTTATCCCAAATTCGTAAATCAGGAAACTGGAGCATAGACAGTTTAGGTAACCAACCCAATACCACACACCCAGTATGTGGCAGAGCTGACTCCTGAGATTTTTATCAGACTAGGTTAACCTGTTTATGGTCATAAAATCATCCGCCTTTTATAAACAAATATATGCCTAATATTTACCACTTCAGCTACAGAAATTCTATATTAGGAAGAAAAACTCTCTATTAGGAAACTATATATTAGGTGATTGTATGACAGTTAAGATTTAGCCCCGGTACCTACAGTTACTCACTCTGCTACTGCACAAAACTCTGCAAGGGCTCCCACACCGCCCCAGGTGTGGGATGCTAAGTGTATGGTGCAGGTACCTCCGTGCACAGCCACACGGGCTGCTCTCAACCCCAATAAACATGTTTACCACATGAGCCTCACATGTGGTAAACATTTTTTTTTTTTTTTTTTTTTTTTGAGACAGGGTCTCATTCTGTCGCCCAGGCTGGAGTGCAGTGGCGTGATCTCGGCTCACTGCAGCCTCCACCTCCAGGGCTCAAGCCATCCTTCACCTCAGCCTCCCGAGTGGCTGGGATCACAGGCGCAGGCCACCACACCCAGCTAATTTTTGTATTTTTTATTTAAGAGGCGGGGTTTCGCCATGTTGCCCAGGCTGGTCCCGAACTCCTGACCTCAAGTGATTCGCCTGCCTCAGCCTCCCAAAGTGCTGGGATTACAGGAGGGAACCACCACGCCCGCCAACTTCCCATGCTTGAGGGAGAAATGGAAGAAAGTTCATGTAATACTCAGGCAAGTCCAATTTTTTCGACGTCTTTCACTTGGGCCACACACACAACTAAAGTAACTAGAAGCGCAGGCTCTAGGAGGCCACCGTTCTGTTCACAGTGAAGAGGGTGCGCTCACCGTTGGTCGTGTCCGCTGGAAGCCCCGCGTCAGGCCGGGAGCGGGACAGAGACTCTTGCTCAGGGCCGTTATCCGAACTGATCCGCTTCCCACCGCACCCCCAGAGAAACCCACCCAACCCCCTAAACCTAAGAAACCCAGACTGCGCAAACCTGCAGGAACAGAGCCATTTCCCCCTAATGTGTGCTTCAAACCCACCGAAGCCCAACTGTAAGCAAGACCAGCGTGCCCGCCCTGCACGATACTGCTTCTCCCCGCAGCAGCGGCTGCCGATCTGGGCAGCGGGTGGGTATTCCTGGGGCTCCGTGGACGTTGAGCCGCCGCGCGAAACCGGCGCCGGCTGGACCTGCAAATCGCCGCCCGGCCGGCAGGGGACGCCGCGGACGCGAGGGCGAGGTCGGTCGCCCAGGAGGGGGCGCGCGAGGCCGCAGGGGCGGGGGGCGCCGCCTCACTTGCCCTGCGCCCCTCCCCCGCGCGCCCTCCTGGCGCGGCGGCCGGCGAGGCCCCTGTGGGAGAGGGGGCGGGGACGAAACGGCCCCGAGGCTCGGAGCGCCGCGCGGCGGCGGCGCGAGCCCGAGGGGGCGGGGAGGCGCGGGCGGGTGTGCGCGCGCCGGGCGTGGGTGTGGGTGGGGGTAACCGGCGCGGGCGCCGAGATAGCGCCGGGCAGAGGGACCCGGCTACCCTGGACAGCGCATCGCCGCCCGCCCGGGTCGCCGCGCCACAGCCGCTGCGGATCATGGTGAGTGGGGCCGCGCGCCGCCACCGACACCGCCGCGCTTTCTTTCTCTCCTGGACCCACGCACCGGGCGGGAAAGGGCCGAGCGGGCGCCGGCGCGGGCGCTGCGGGTTCGCCGCTGGAACCCGCTACCCTCGGAGGGGCCGGGTCCGCGCGGGCCTGGGGAGCGGGAGCTGAGCGTTTGGGCCGGGGGCGCGCGGGTCGGCCCGAGGCCCGCGGGTCTCGGGAACTTTGTCTCGGTCCCCTCTCCCCGGTCCCGCCCCGGCACCTCGAGGCGCCCGCTCGCGCCCAGTCCCCTGTTGCATGCACGGGGCCGGGCGCCCGGGATGCCCGAGGAAGCCGCCCCTCCTTCGCGGCGGCCATTCCCGCGCGCAGCCCACCCTCCGACCCTCCGGACCCCCGAACCTGCTCTCGCCACCGCCCGCCGACGCCTGGAGCGGAGAACGGCGTTTCCCGCGCGCGGCACACACCCTGCCTCGGGAGTTCTGGGGTTCGGGCCCTAACGGTCAAGCTCTTGCCCCTCTCCTCCCTTCACCGCGCCTGCACCCCGGGGGTGTGTCTGTGCACTCGTGGGTGCCTCCTGGGTTTGCAGATTGGCTTGGGAAGCGGCTGGGTTTCTATCAGTGTCTGGGCTCGGAGGGGCTTCTGGTGTGTTCTTTCCGACAACTCCTCTCTCTGCCCGATTTCCCAGGCCAGTCCTCCACTCTGGATTAGTAACGCTTCTTTCTCCTCGGCAGTAAGCTGTGTGTGTGTGTGTGTGTGTTCACCCGTGTCCGATGAACTGCCTGACAGTAAGCTGTGTGTGTGTGTGTGTGTGTGTGTGTGTTCACCCGTGTCCGATGAACTGCCTGACAGTTTTAGTAGCAGAGCCTGGTTCTTTGGTTACAAAGGGAGAACATCTGTTGTGCCATCCTCAAAGGACTGGTCTTTAGGCAAAATGTGAAATCCGCGTTTGTCTTCAGTGGTCCATATTCAGTGTTTGCCTCACCCCCTTCCCGTAGGGTTTTCTCTCCACTTCAGGACTTGTTAAAATAAGCGCACTTCCTTTCTCTTCCCCACTCCATCTGATTTTGCTCTGGCTACCCTTTTAGGCACGTACCATCTGCCTGATTATGTGTGACCACTTAATCTTAAAATTCCAACCTTTCCTACCCCGCCCACCACAGTGTATATTCCCCTTGCCTGCTTCATTTGTCTTCTCTTGAGCATGTATTAGTTAGCGTACTGCATATTTTGTTTCTTTAGCTTGTTTCTTGAACGTCTCCTCTACCAGAATATAGGTTTCAGGAAGACACAGATTTTTGTCATTTCGTTCATTGCTTGCTAGATTTCTAGTACCTACAGCAGTGCCTGGCGCACAGTAGGTACTTGATAACTCTTTTGAATTAACCCAATAAAGCAAGCTGCTTTATGTTAATGCACAGGTGGGGAGTAACTGCAAAGATTATGCAGTTGACATTTGTAATGATGAGAGTCTCAAGTGAAGTTTGGGAGGAGGGAGATACTCCCGACAGGAGGGACCCGATTTTGGCAGCCTTCAATGACGAGTCTAGGCGGCTATCTCTTATGCCTTGTCTGTCGCTTCATGCTCTTTGCACCTTGGCATCAGAGTGGACAAAGCATTTTTAGGACCAACTGGCTCTCCTTTTGGGCTCTGAAGCTTTGTCCTAAAGTATAGGTAGGAATTGTAGTGAGTAAGGGAATAAGTCCAAGGAAATCTCTTTAGCTGAATAGGAAAGTCATGGGAATGTTAACCTAAAAGAGCTAAAATCAAGGGCAAGCTCTTGAAAGCTTTATCCTGCCCAAGTGTGATGCTTCCTGTTTAGATAAGTATTTCTCAGAAACTGTGGGTCTTCAGAGGAATTTTTTTTTAATACCCAAATCCAAATTGTATTACTTTTTTCTTCTTTCTTTTTTTGTGGCAGGGTCTCACTCTGTCACCCAGGCTGGCATGCAGTGATGCAATCTTGGCTCACTGCAACCTCCACCTCCTGGGCTCAAGTGATTCTCGTGCCTCAGCCTCCTGAGTAGCTGGGATTACAGGCGCACGTCACCACACCAGGCCAATCTGTGTATTTTTGGTAGAGACAGAGTTTCACCATGTTGTCCAGTTTGGTCTCTAACTCCTGACCTCAAGTGATCAACACCCACCTCGGCTTCCCAAAGTGCTGGAATTACAAGGCATGAGCCACCATGCCCGGCTGAAATCGTATTACTTTAAAAAAAAAATGGGCAGGGAGTAGGAAAGTTAGGGGGTTGAATTTATAAATAACTTAGTGGGTCAGTTCAGAGAGACATCCTTTTCAATACATGTCCAATATGAACTGTCTTGTAAGATATCTCTGCTAGTTAGTCTTATTATTCCAAAATAAATATTTTTTCTTTCAAATTTCCTTTTGTTTTTCTATAATGTGGATTTATGGCATTGGTTTTTTAAAAATTAGTCTGGAGAAATGTATTAATTGGAAACAAATTGTTTAATAAAATTTACATAAGTTTTTGAAAATTATGTAATTATAGCTATGACTATGTAAGTTCAGCAGTTCTGTGGTTACCATCTTTCCCAGGTAGGTAGTAGAAATTAAAGGTAAAAAGGAAAGAAATATAAGTTTGTCTTTGAAATTAAAACCAATGAACCAACCAAAGATGAATGAAAGATACCTTATTGACTTAAGTTTCTATTTGTAGGATATTTTACTGTTAGGATTCCTAGGATTCCAAAGTATCCAGCCTTTTTCTCTTTCGATTCTTCGAACGTATAGCATTTTCAAGGAGTAAAAAATCAATTTTTAAAGTATCCAGTTGGGTAAGCCTAATTTTTGGTTCTTCAACAAGGGTTCCATTTAATCTAGTTTCCTTCAAAACGTTTTAGTCAGTTTGGGAGGTTCAGGTGCTTTCATGTTCCGAAAGAGAATGTTGAAAATGTGTCAAGTAGATATTATGTATCTAGTTATGTTCAGAAAACAGGGCCCTGCTATTCAGGGTTAGGTGGATGATCGTCTGGGTTGGACAGTTGGATATGTATCATCTAACTTGACAGGTTTGCATTTCTGGGAGTAGACATTGATAAGGGGAAAGAAGTTGCACCAGAAACTTCTTTAATGGCCCAATGTGGTGAAAATACGCCAGCATCAGTAGCTCATAGTAATTCTACAGTTACAGATTCACGCATTTGTAGCTTTTCTTCTTAATTGAATTGGGACATAACTGACTTTGACAATGAACAATTCTAATAAATAGTTAATTTATGACATTTTAAATCTAACCATTTAATAATTGGAGAGCATAACTTGTTCTGAAATTTATGTGACAGTTTAGAACCTGAGATCTGAGGTCATTCGTGGGCTTGAATCCTGACACCAGCATTTAACTGTGTGACCTTGGGCTTCAGTATTTTATCCTGTAAAAGATGATAATATTTCATAAGGTTTTCGGGAGGAACAAATATGATGGTGCCCTTTATGTGTCTAAAACAGTGCTTGGAGTGCTTAGTAAATATTAACTATTATAATGATGTGTGTTCTTTTTTCTCCCATATCTATTTTAGTTGAGACACTTCAGAATGATGTCTCTGTCCCTTTTGTGGTCTTAATATACAACTAATATTGCTGTCCAATAGAAATATAACATAAATCGCATATGTAATTTTCAGTTTTCTACTAATCATATTTAAAAAGTACAGAGACAAGTGAAATTAGTTTTAATAATGTTATTTAACCCAATCCATGCAAATATTTCAACATGTAATCAATGCAGAAAAAGATTTTTCCATTGTTTTTTTTCATAGAAAATCTTCAAAATCTAGTGTGTATTTTATGCTTAGAGTGCATCTCAGTTCAGGCTAGCCGTATTTCAGCGGCTCAGTGGCCACCTGTGGTTAGAGGCTACCGTATTGGACAAAGAGCTCTAGATTGTACACAACTTCCAAGTTTACCTCTTAAAGCTCTTACACCCTTTCCACTAGTGAGAACCTCACTGCCACCTTAAACCCAGCATTACAAAAAGAAAGCTACTCATCTTTCAGACTCTCTTCTCTGTTCTCTTTTGCTGTTAGTAATTCCACCAGCTCTTCAGTCTACTGTGTCTGAAATCTGATTCTTATTCTCTTTTTTATTTTATATTGTTTGTTGTCTAATATTCTCATATTTTTACTTGAAAATATTTCAAAATCTCTTTCCTCCACCCCTTGAGCCCCCTTTCCACCATTTTTGCCTTTTCTACAGATCTCCTCTTTTGTAGACTCTTTGTTTTAACTTTTTTACTTCCTGTCTCTTGGAAAATGTATATCTCTCGCTGAATCACTGGGCTCCACATTCTCTCCATTCCTTCCTCAGCCCTTTTTCATGTTGTCAGAAATGGTTTCTATTTTATAGGTTATTCCTACCCTTAATACCTTTCCTTTGTCAAATATCCAGAGAAGTATAATTACTTTCACAGATAGTCTGATAGTAAAATGATCCACTCAAGAAAAGAAGCACAGATAAAGGAGAAAAATAAGCTAGGGGAAGGGAAGATGAAATCATTCTTTGAGTTTTATTTTCCTTTCAGGAAATATCAGAGGGAATCGATTCTAGTAGTCTGTAGTACAGTAGAGAAATTATATGACTATTTATTTTATGTTTCAAAATAGCTAGATGAGAATTGTAATATTTCTAACATAAGAAAAGATAAATGTTTGAAGTGATAGATATTCCAGTTACCCTAACTTGATCATTACATTGTATACATGTACCAAAACATCACATGTACCCTGGGAATATGTACAACTATGATGCATAAATTAAAAAATAGTAACAGAGAAATATCATGGAACTGATTAATAATCACAATCACCACCACCACCACAATAGCAATGAAACTTGATGTTTATGCAGTGCTTTCTAAGAAACAGGGCACCTTCCTGTGTGCCTGGTGAACAGAGGGAGAAAACGAAAGGCACTGGACCAAGAGTCAAGAAACCTGGGTTCTAGCCCTAGCTTTATTGTTTACTAGCTCCATTCCCTTGCTTAAGTTGCTTTGAGACACTGTTTACTCACTTGCTAAATGGTGTATTATCTCTGTCACAAGATTGTTTTGTTAGAATCAAATGGGGCCTCAGCATCTTTACATTGGCTGCCCTTTGGCTGTATACATCTTTCCCCCAGAGAGCTTTATGTCTGTCTGCTTAATACTTTCATGATTAGACCTACCCTAACCACTCTACTAAAACTGGAACCTGCCTTACCATATGTCACACACCATATTCACACACACAGTTGGATATGTACCACACCTGATCCTCTTACACTGCTTTATTTTTTTTCCACAGCACTTAAAACTAGCAGTTTGCTAATTTACATAGCACTTGGAACCATTTAATCATTAATCTCTTGATAAATTTAAAATTATTTAATTATCACAATTCAGTTTGAGCATGTTTCAGTAATACAGCTGCTTCATCAATACACATTTGCCTGTGTAACCTTTTAGTAAATGATAATATGTATTCCTACAGCATATTTACACTTCATAGTCATATTTGTGGAAAGGGCCAGGTTATGTCATTTTTAAATAATTTAATCCATATTTCATCATAAGTTTTTAATGAAATTAAAATGCATATGTATTTCTATTTTTAGATAAATCTATACTTATAGCATTAAGTTCTTGCTGAAATTAAAAATGATTATCTTAAAATATAAACAAAGCTATGATATATGGATTTGCTGAGTAATTTTATTTTTATTTTTATTTATTTATTTATTTATTTTTGAGCTGGAGTCTTGCCCCATCACCAGGCTGGAGTGCAGTAGCGCAATCTTGGCTCACTGCAACCTCTGACTCCAGGGTTCAAGCGATTCTCCTGCCTCAGCCTCCCGAGTAGCTGGGACTACAGGCGCACACCATGCTGAATAAATAATTATTTTTACTTTACATATATGTGTGGCCTTTAGTTAGCATAACTTAAATATGATTCAAGTACTGTATAATAATACTATTTTACATTTATTAATCAGTTGAATGTTTTTCAATGCATTTTAATCCACCTTAACTCTTTCTGAAGCCTCACAAAAAAACTTTTGTGAGAGGCAAGTCCTGTAGCAACATACCTACTTTACAGTTTCAAAGAAGATAAATAATTTGCCCAAGGTCACATACTAGAGGTAGCAAAACCAGCTCTAAATATTCTCAATCCAAAATAACCACCTCTTCTGCTATTCCATATAGCCTTAGCCTTTGAGAAAGGCAGTAGTACTTTTCCCCATTATTACATATGAAAATGGAAAAATCAGAGTGACTTCCCCATGTAGTTTCTTTCCCATAAATTACAGGGATGGATAGATAGATATGGATATATACATATATTGCATATATACACTTAAACATATTAAATATATAAAGTCTTAAGTTTCATTTCATATATACAGAAAATGGAACCTGCAAAGGAAAATATTATTTGAAATGGAGGTGATTGTGAACAACATCCATATGTACTTATCAAACTTAATCCACTGACTAATATAATTTAAGGGGAACAAAGCTTTCTTTTGGATAAAATGGTACACAGACATAGAAGAACATTGAGTGGCCTGAGTGACTTGAGGGCTCACTGCCTATAAATGAGCAGTACTGAGCATGTGGCTGGTACAGTGCTCCCTTATAGTAGTAATTTTCAAGAGAAGTAAGGCCATCACTTTTTTTTTTTTTTTTTAGTAGAACGAGTGTAGTATTCAAACATTAATCAGAACAGCAGTAGCTTTACACAAAAATTTTGATATCATATATGGTATTTACTATTTGGTTTTATTTCCAATACTTTAAAGATTTAAATCTGTTGAATTTTCCACGTGACTAAGCAGAATTTGGTTAATGAGATCTTGGAGTTTAACATGCATTATGACAATGGGGAGGAGCCTTTTTTTTCTTTGGCAGGGTCAAAGAGCTCATTGACCATTACACTGAGGAGTTAGATTAAAAGTTAACTCATGCCGTCTCTCTCTCCCTCTCTGCCTCCTCTGTCTCTCTCCTCCTCTGCCTCTCTTTCCCTCTCTGCCTCTCTCTTTCCCTCTCTGCCTCTCTTGTCTCTTTCCCTCTCTGCCTCTCTGTCTCTCTCTCCCTCTCTGTCTCTCTCCTTCTCTGCCTCTTTCCCTCTCTACCTCTCTGTCTCTTTCCCTCTCTGCCTCTCTATCTCTTTCCCTCTCTGCCTCTCTTCCTCTGTCTCTCTCTCCCTCTCTGTCTCTCTCTCCCTCTCTGCCTCCTCTGTCTCTCTCTCCCCATCTCTCTTCCCCTCTCCTTCTCTCTCTCCTCTCCATCTCTCTCCCTCCTCAAAAAAAAAAAAATTAACTCATGCTTTGAAAGAAGAAAACAGAATATGTCCATAAGGCAAAAGTAAAATTAGGCTATTTTCAATTTTCCTGAAAATTCAGTTCTGAACAACTGATGTTCTATTTTGTCTCTGGAAGGTCTATGCAGAGTGTTCTCCAAGGCATGCTGGGACAAACAGGAAGCCAATACCTTGATCCTTTCTGCTCCCATTCTAGAAGCTTTCCTGAAATTGTTACAGGGAAGACATTCTCTTGGATCTGTAGCTTCCTTGACTTTTGGAAATGCAGATTTCATGACTGTTCTAATGTCAGTGGTGAATTTATGCTGAAGAGCGTGCTTTGGGATGTCAGAAAAATACTCAGTTGGCTGTGCTTTCCTCCGGGGCAACGCAGTCGAAATGGTACATGTGGGCTATTTCACATCTCAATCTCCAGAGCCCAGGGAATTGTTATTCCTTTGTAAGGAAGAGAATGCCCCCTTTCCTTTGGCCTTTTCTGTGTTCAGACTCCTAAAAAAAATGGCATATATCACAAGTCATTTTGAGATTTACTGCCTGAAGTCTGCATCAAACTCAAGAATACAAAGCAACCACACTGGCTTCACTATATTTTGGAAGCCATGTTTCTCTGTTAAAAAATAGCAGGATTATGACATCAAAGCTTTTAAAGTCCTGCCACTGCTACTAAAATGCTATCATGTTCCTTTTGTAAATTAGGTTTACTATCTCATAAATGACTTTCTGTTTACAATTTTAAAAGTAAGCAGAAACACCCTATTTTAATACCTTTCGTAACACTAATCTCATCAGTACTTGCTTCGTGTAAGACAGAACATATGTCTGTAACAGTCTTAAGTCCTTAGTGTAAACTTTGGAATTAATATTTTGCATTTGTTCTCCTTTTGAAGGAAAGAAATATGCTCTCTACGTTGAATACATATTCTTTAAAATTGCTCTCGAGACATGCAAATACATTGCCTCAGTCATTTTTTTGATTAGATACACTCATTGTTCATTCATTCAGCACGTGCTCAGTACTGCTCAATTAGAGGCAGTGTGTAAGCACTGTCAATTTAAATATAAAAGACAGCCCCTGCTTCATGAAATCTGTAGTACAAAAAGAGATTCTTTTGTCTCTTCCAGTGCAAGCATACTTCACAAGTCAGCAGTGTTTGGACCACTCAGTCCAGTAAATGTGCCTCCGTGTCCATGTGCCATTCCATCCAATAGAAAGACTTAGTCTAATAATGCGACTAGTAATATTATGACAAAAAAATCTAGACCCTACAGCATAGGTAACTTTTATTCTTTATCATGGCAAGAATGTGTTCAGGACCAAGAGGTGGCTGGTAGCTAAAGAGCCAACATCACTGGGATTAATAAAGCTGAGATCAAGACTATGTCTGTGTGACACCACAGTACTCAGCAGTCAATTCAGTGAGAGGAGAAAATGATGAAACCGATTGTGTGAAAGGATGGATAGAAGGAGCATGGACCTAGGAATCTGACAGATATATTTAAATGCACATTCCTAGGCTACGTGAGGTCGGACCTACAGAATGAGAATCTCTGAGGAGGGGCCTAGGGATCTGTATACCAACAATCAAGTGCACACAAATTTGAAATCTTACGCTCTAGGGGTCCAAATGAATGGGAAGAACTTCTAGCAAAATCGTTTTGTGTATGCTTCATGAAGGGGTTGGATTTTGGTATGTAGGGAAGGAAGGAATGTAGTGTAGAACAGAACAGTCTATTTAGGAGAAATAACTGGGTGAAGGCCCCAGAAAGTAGTAACACAAATATATTTATGGAACACTATACTCTGAGCAATTTATGGACAAGGCTGTTTTCACAGAGCCTAGCACAGATTAGGTGCTCAGTAAGTGTTTTTAATTATTATTTTATTTATTTATTTATTTATTTAGAGACAAGAGTCTTGCTTTGTCACCCAGGCTAGAGTGCAGTGGTGTGATTTCGGCTCACTGCAACCTCCATCTCCTGGATTCAAGTGATTCTCCTGCCTCAGCCTCCAGAGTAGCTGGGATTACAGGCGCATGCCACCACGCTTGGCTAATTTTTGTATTTTTGGTAGAGACTGGGTTTCACCATGTTGGCCAGGTTGGTTTCGAACTCCGGACCTCAGGTGATCCACCCGCCTCGGCCTCCCAAAGTGCTGGGATTACAGGCCTGAGCCACCACATTTAGCCCTAATAAGTGCTTTTTGTTATTTATTTATTTATTTATTGAGAAAAAGTCTCACTCTGTCACCCAGGCTGGAGTGCAGTGGCGCAATCTCAGCTCACTGCAACCTCTGCCTCCTGAGTTTGAGTGATTCTCCTGCCTCAGCCTCCATAGTAGCTGGGAATACAAGTGTGTGCCACCATGCCCGGCTAATTTTTGTATTTTTAGTAGAGATGGGGTTTCACCATGTTGGCCAGGCTGGTGTTCAACTCCAGACCTCAAGTGATCCACCCACCTCGGCCTCCCAAAGTGCTGGGATTACAGGCGTGAGCCACCATGCCCGGCAGTAAGTGTTTTTTAAATGTGTGAAGTTTGTGGACCAACAGGATAATGGGATTTATGCTAGGAGAGAGAAGTCAAATTTTAAAGAGTCTTGAATTTGAGGCTAAGAAGTTTCTTCTAGATTTTGTAGGTAATAGAGAACAATTAGGCTTTTGAAATGGGGAGTCAAATGATGAAAATATCATTTAGGAAGTTTAATCTTATTTTCATAATATACAGGGCTGGGAGAGACTGGATAGGGAGGTTATAAAGGGGCTGAACTAATATGTCACTTCTTTCCACTTATTTTCATATTGCCAGCTTCTGAAAAATTCTCTCTTTAACCACACACTCCTGGATTCAGTTCCCTACTCCACTTCTTACTAATTGTTTAGTCATTTGAATATCAGTATTCTCATGGCTAAAATATGTATACTCACACATAGTGAAGATTCCTTGATAGTAAACACTCAAAACTGGTGGCTGCTACCCACAGAAACTTAATCATGTTTATCTTTACAATCCTAACTTTTTTCTCTATGCCTGGAATAGAGATTTTTATAAAACAATCTTGATTAATCCACATGTATTTACATTTTTAAAAATTCTCATATTCCTGTCATGATGGATTTTAGTTTCGACATTAAGGATTTTTCTTCTGGGGAGGATAAAAAAAGTGATAAAGGTTTTATTCTCTGATTTTTGTTTCTTCCTCTTCGGGTTACATGAGTTTTATTAATCAGTGAAAATTGAAAATCTTAACTATATGCTTGTTTCAAAACAACTTTTCTTATTGAATGGTTCTCACTTATGCACTCATAAAACTGAATGTTTTTTGAAAATTGTTTCATTGATTTGAAACATAACTTCAGAAAATCTTAAGAGCTCTACATAATCAGATTAAACCTTAGCTATTTGCCCAACCACCTACATCAAATTGCCTGTCTTGAGCTCCTCAACAGTGCTTAATCTAAAGCCTTAACCCCTAAAAATTTACCCTTAAGAAAATATATCTTTCATCCTCTGTTGTACACACTGCATTCTCATTATTTCAGTTATGAAAATCCTAAATACATCAGAAACTCTTAAGTGTATTGGATTCGTGTATTGTGTTGGAAATAATGAGGAAAAGAATGCATATATGCACATAACTTCTTTTTTAACTTTTTCTCGGTCAGTTTGGAAATAGTAAAAATTGCCTAGACTTAATACACTTAAATAGTGTAGGAGTAAAAAACTAAATAAGTGGAGAATAGACTTTGTGTCATCTAGGAGGGGAGAATGTTAGAAGGGGGCAAGATAGGTAGACATTTAGGGGCAGTAAATAGACCAGCCTGGCTGGAATGAAGTTTACTGTGTAAGGGACTGGTCGAAGAAAAGGCTAGAGGAGTACTTGGAACCAAATGGAATGAAGTTTCTGGGTCTCTGGTATGGCTTGATTCCCTACCAGCTTATTTCAAATAAAATAATTACACCTCTAATTTGTGATCAACTCCAGAGGAACTTTCTACCACATTCCTAGTGATAGTAAGTTAGAATACCATATGTTAGTATGTTTCCATTTATAGAACACTTTCAGGGCGTCGTCTCAATTGCATGTTATTAGTTACTTGTTTATCTTTGTTTACTTGTGTATTATCTGTCTCCCTTACTGCAATATAAACTCTGTAAGGGCAAGAACTTCTTTATTGCTGTAACTTCAGCACTAGAAAGGTACCTGCAGACAGTAGATGCTCAAATAATACTTGTCTGATAAATGAACAGGCATGTAAAGTCACTTTCCCATGTTTGAAGAAACTGAGACTGAGATTATTTCATTCAGAGTCATAAACTAGTAAGTGATTGGCTGAATCCACGGATGCAGATTCATGCATACAGAGGATGACTGTATTTTGTAATTGTTTGAGGAATATTTGATTATCCTTTTTCCATTGGAAAATATGTGGCATGTGCAACTAAATTTCCAGGATTTGTCCATGGTTTAGTACATAGAGTAGAAAAAGCTAAGGATTAAACCTAAATTTATGTGACCCTATAGAGGCCCTATCCTAGTCTCCTCTACATTTTTTTTTTTTTTTTTTTTGTATAGGAAACATTTATCCAAATTGTGTAAAAAGATGTGAAAATTAATTTTGTCAGCCATTAGGAGAATATGTTCTGCTATTTAATAATATGATGGAACAACTTATGGCCTTGAAGTTCTTTCATAGGTAAGACCTTAACCTTGTGCAGGAGCCAGGTGGAAAAATAGAATAAACTCTACATGATATGGATAACAAAACTAAAGCACAGAAAAAGTAACTTCTCTACATGTCTGTAGCCGACTGGAAACCTGAGCCCAAGTCTTTGACTTTTAGTTCATTGATATGTACAAGAGGAAAACATCTGTGGTTTGCTGTAGTGATGCAGAAAGTTTGGAATAGACAACTAGATTAGTGAGGCCAAAAGAGAAAGTCTGGTGCAGATATGGGAACTTGCTATAAGAGAGGAGTAGCACTACAAATGAGTGTGGAAAGGACTGTTTGAGGAATGATGTTGGGACAAATGGCCTTTCATATGGGACAAAATAAAATTAGATCTCTACCTGATAACAATATGCAAAAATAAATTGAGATCATTTAAAAACCTAAAGAAAAATTAAGCTTTGGAACTGTTAGAAAATAGAGGTTATGGCAGGAATAATTTCTTAAGCAAGATTAAACACAAACCATAAAAAGTGACATTTGACCACATCAGAGTTTGAAAATTTTGAGATGACAGAAGACACCATACAGATTTTTTCTTTTTAAAGGAGGAGAAGTTATTTGCAGTGTATATAACAAAAGATTAGCACTAGGAATGTGTAAATGACCCTTATAAATCAATAAACAGAAGACAAGCCATCCATTAGAGACATGGGTAAAGGTTATTTAATGGCAGCTCACTGAAGAGGAAACCTGCATAGCCAATAAATATTTAAAGACATACGCAACTTCAGTAGTAATAAGGAATTGCAAATTAAAACCATGTCAGACTCATGAACTTGGCAAAATTTAACAATTCTGACAGTAGCAAGTTCCATACATTTTTAGAGCTTTGTGGTAGTTTTCAAATAAAAATGTATTCCCCAATGTAGCAATTCCACAGAGATTTATTCCCAAAGAAATTCTCATTAATAAACATAAGGAGATTTGTATAAAGCAGCATTTTTTGTAATAGCAGAAAAATGGGAAATAACCGAATATATCCATTAGTAAGGAGGTGGACAAATGACAATATGGAATATTCATAAGATGGAATACTATACAACAGTTACAGTGAATGAGCCAGAGCTGCCGTGTCAACATGAATAGATCTCAAAAAAAAATCTTGAATGACAGAACAAGCTGCAGAAAGATAAGTGTGCTACGTTATAGTGCATATAAATCCTTAAAACGTACAAAACTATTTTTGCTTGTGAATATCTGCATGTAAATATATAAAACCATAGACTGGAAGGCTTGACATCAAGTTGATTGCAGCAGTTATATCTGATGAATGAACAGGGGACACAGGATTGGGAAGATGTACAAAGGGAGTGAGAACTTTATCAGTTGTGTTTCATTTCTTAGTGCCCAGTACGTGTTTATTTAAATTAGTTTAAAAAGATTTGAATGGCCGGGCACGGTGGCTCACGCATGTAATCCCAGCACTTTGGGAGGCTGAGACGGGCAGATCACGAGGTCAGGAGATCGAGACCATTCTGGCTAACACAGTGAAACCCCATCTCTACTAAAAATACAAAAAAATTAGCCGGGCGTGGTGGCGGGCGCCTGTATACCCAGCTACTCAGGAGGCTGAGGCAGGAGAATGGCATGAACCCAGGAGGCAGAGCTTGCAGTGAGCCGAGATCAAGCCACTGCACTCCAGCCTGGGTGACAGAGCGAGACTCCATCTCAACAAAAAAACAAACAAACAAAAAAAAGATTTGAAGCAAATATGACACAATTTTAACATTCATAAGTGATATGTCTATTTTATTATTCTGTACTTTTTCATACCTTTACACTTTTTCCCCAAGTTAAAAATAAGGATCTGGGATCTGCATTGGAGTCCCAGATCAGAGGTCTGTTAAGAATAGCACATCTAGGACAGATGAGCTACAGGGCAGGAGGGCCTTCTATTGTTTTCTTAGACCCTAATCCTTCCTTCTTGGCTGACTGAATTGGCATCTAAAAGGCCTTACCAGGTCAGACTCCACATCCATGCAGTTTTAGAGAACTAAAGGACAAGTTGTATTAATAGAAATTTGTGTTTGTCATTCTTACCATCAGTGAAAGGGATAAGCATATTTTCTCATGTGTGGAAAGAGAGAGAATAGCCAAATACCAACAATAGCTGCAACCAATTACATTTATTAAATTCTTACTATGTCCCAGCATTGTCATAAGAACCTTTACTGTATTCCCATATCCCCACAGCAACCCTGGGAGTTGGTACTGCCATTCCCTCTTTACAAATAGGGAAACTGAGGCAAGCTGGGCAGTGAGCATAAAGGAATAAGGAGAGCATTTTTACTCAAACAAATTGCACACCATAAATATTTGTTTCCTACTTGTAAGTCAGTTGTGAAAGGGTTCCAACCCACTGCATGCAGTGTCCTCTCAGTGTTTCTCTTTTCCCACAAAAACTAATTGACCTTTGAGAATAGTTACATTGACTGTCAACCAGTCAACAATGGTAAACCCCAAACTGGAATTTTGTTATTCTCCCTTTTATACCACTGCACTTTCTCTTCTGATTTTTCTTTAAAAAGACATCACTCTTGAGACAAGCACTGATTAATGAAGGGACATTTCTGCTATACGATGTCACTCCCCTTAGATTATCCAAGCCTGATACAGTGGGAGTTGTGAGGCTACGACAGTATGCCCCTGCATTGGGATTTGAAAATGCAGAACACTGAATCAGTGACTATCTATTCAACTTCTACTCTGTGTACAGGCCTGTCATAGATGCTTTTACAAGTATGAAATCATTGAGTCTTCACAACCACACTGCGAAGTTAGGATGATAATTCTCATTTTATAGAGAATGAAGATATGTTCAAAGATAACATTTGGCCCAAAGTTACGCAGCGACTTAGTGTCAGAGCCAAAACTAGAACCTGCGTAAAACTCCTGCCCTTTGCAGTGAACCACACTGAATGCCAGCCTACCTTTTTTTTTTTTTTTTTTTTTTTTTGAGATCTCCCTCTGTCGCCCCGGGCTGAAGTGCAGTGGCGCGATCTTGTCTCCCTACAGCTTCCGCCTCCCAGGCTCAAGTAATTCTTGCGCCTCAGCCTCCTGCGTAGCTAGGACTACAGGCATGTGCTAACACTCCCAGCTTTTTTTTTTTTTTTTTTTTTTTTGTAGAGACAAAGTTTTGCCGTGTTGCCCAGGCTCATGCTACCTCTTTTAACCATAGCCTTAAGTGATGCCCCACCCTGAACCATACTCAGGACTGATTAAAAATAATCACCCCATGAATGAGTGACAAGAAGATGCTACAGTCTCATTTACCAGCTCTATGAAATCAGGCAAGTTGCTTTACCTCTCTTAAGTCCCATTTTCCTGATCTGTCAAAGGGGGATGAACATACCTGCCTTATAGAGTAGTTTCGAGAACTAAATGAAGTAATAGTGAGATAATAGGATATAATGTGCCCAGTACAATGGCTGGTATCTAATAAACACATTCTAGTTCTTTATAATAAATATATTACTATTATTACTATCATTTGTAGTTTTTATAATGAAGAAATCAGTGATGGGGGGCAACTCTGAACTGGCAATTAGAAAATTCTTGATACATTATTTTAAAGTGAAAAAAAAAATACCATAAAAAGCAAGCTTTCATGGCTGCTGTGGGGTAGCTAGTGTGAGATAATTTAATTTTTTTCTTTATAAACCAATCAATAGGTAAAAAAGCCTATAACCATTCTTCCACTTGGAGGCAATATCCTCTTCTGATGGAGACAGTTTCTCTGGACGGAAGCCACCCAACCACAGATCAGCCTGTTTGTCCACACCTGCGTCTAGTCAAAGGCAGAATCTCTATACAGTGGCCAGACTAAAGAGTCAGATTAACAGGATGTAAGTCAAGCAATGGCTTACCTTCCCAGCCACAGCAAATGAGGGAAACAGTGTTCTAGGATGACTTAATCTATTATGGCATTAAAATGCTATATCCAGATCTAAAGCTAGAAACCAAATCTCCAAAGAGGAAAAGACATCCTATAACCAAAGCAACTTATACATAGTTATAGAGGAACTCTATTGTCATCAGTTGCTTGATGGAAAAGAAGAGAAACCCATGTGTGTAGGTTTTTTTTCCCCCAAAGTCCAAATTAGACCCATTTGGAGGAATGGCATTGGGGAAAATAGCAAGGCTCAGGCAAAAGGAATTGGGTATACCAAGAGAAATACGATGTTCAGAGTAAGAAAGATAATAGTTCTACGACATTCTGAAAATGTTCACTTCTGAGGGCTCTATTGAAAGAGAAATGTTGACAAACTGGAATCAATTTAGAAAGAATGCTGAAAAAGGTGAGAGTCTGGAGCTCATGTCCTTTATATGGGCATGTGTCTAATGCCTAATACCTAGTAGATGTTCAGTTAGTGCTTGTGGAAAGTAGGAAAGGTCAGTCCACATAGTAAAGCAGAGAAAGGCAGGGAGGGAGGGAGAGGAGAACGGGATAAGTTGAATTTCCTTATCTTAGGCTGCTTGCCTAAGAAAGGTGAAAGCAGGGGGTGAATTAATACCTCTAATCAAATATCTGAAGGGCTCTCGTGTGGAAGAAAAATAATACTAGTTTTGTGTAACTCCAGAGGAAAGAATTAGGATTTATGGGTAACAGTTGAATGGGGAAAGATTTTTAGCACAAAATAAAGTAGGACTTTCTAAAAACAAGAAACATTTTTAAAATGGAATGTGCTACCTTACAGAGTAGTAAGAAGTCTTTCCAGTAAGGTGGGTAAATTTCTATCAGAATTATTGTAGAAACCAATTATTTCCGGCTTTGGGTGGAGAGTTAAAAAGTCCATGACTCTCCCATATGACGAGAGCCAATAAGCTGCTCCTACTCATCTGAGGTTTAAAAAAAGTCACTTGTTTCTGAGCTCATTTCTGTTCCTAACAAAGACTCTGGACCATGCAGAGCTCATTCTTGAGCCTTTACAATGCTGTGTGATGGGAAGTGAATTTCTATAGTAAAAATCGATGTTGATTTATACTATACTTTTAAAGTTATTTTTCATAAAACATAGACAGTAAGCTTAAGAAGTGAGAAGCATTTACACCAAAACTTTTAAAATATTATTTTATCTAAAGATATAAATCTCTTGTTGGTCAAAGGATACAAAATTTCCATTAGACAGGAGGTTCAAGAGATATATCGAAAAACATGGTGATTACAGTTAAGTGTTCTCACTACAAAAAAATGATAAGGATGTGAGGTAATGGATGTGTTAATTAGCTTGATTTCACCATTCCACACTGTATGCATATTTCACATCATATGCACCATAAATAAATACAATTTTTGTCAATTAAATATTTTAAAAGAAATCTCTATGTAAGGATAGTTAATCTATTAGATATAAATAATACTCCATATAGCTATGTAAGGTTGATATGAAGAAATCAAGCTATGATCCACAGACGGCAATAAATCCTGTTATTCTATTCCATATGCTGCATACATATAAAGCTAGAGAGGCCTTTTAGTACGAGGTAAGAGTGTGGACAAAGACAAATGGAAAAAGACAAATGACAAAAGTGCTAAAAACAGCTTCAGTTTCCCTGCAACTCCTAGTTAGTCGAGTGAAACAAAGGAGGCTCTCTAAGAATCAGTTTCTTGGTGGCTGTCCTGGATGTCCGTAGTACAACACTTCACTCCCATGTCCAGGATTAACGTGCAACAGTCTGCTTGCCTCTCCTGTTATAGCCCAGAAGGATCACAAAAGGATTTCCTGCCACATGCTGCCCACCTGTATCTTGGCAGCCTAGCACAGCCCGACCCAAACGGCACTACTACTTGCTGGTTACAGGAGCCATTTGCATTTTCAACCATGGCTATTTTAAGGCTATGCAAATGAGTTGGCGGGACTTTCTCCTTTAAAAGACAATGAAAAAAATTCATAGTCTAACATCTCCTTCTTTAACTTTTCTAATACATCTAAACCCAATACACACTTATTTTTATGGAATCAGAGCAGGATACTTTAAGTCTTCTCTGGAGACTAATTTTGGCTGCCCTTTGAGGAACAGTTAGAACCACTCATCAGGCTGCTAGCACTAGCAAAGGGGAAGCCACGCTGTCATAACTGGCTCTTGCAGTCGCTGCTTCCACTTCACCATCCTGAAAGCTTGATGGCTTATCTGCTTAGGAAACTCAGGAATGTTTCTCACCACCCCACTTCGCTACCCAGAGCCACTACCCATTAGAGTTACCGAACTGACCCTTTTTCTTTTAAAGGTTGGAAGCAAAAAGACTATAAATCTTTTACAGCTGCATTCATTACAGCAGTTAACATTCTCTATAATGATACAGTTCTAAAAAGCATTATCTAAAAAGAAAAATTATTTTTGAGAGCTGAGAGGCTAAAACTGGGTGAAGACTTCTGCAGAGAAAATATTTTTAAAGTCATAAAACCATGAAAATAACAACTACTGTACGTTTTATTTTATAGAAATCAAGTAGTATCTAATAGACAAGGGAAGACATTGATCCATAAACTTTTTAAAGAAAATTTGGTAATCTCTTAAAGTATTTGTATGGCTTTGAATGGGTGTGCTTTTCTAACTTTGTTTTAATTTTTATGATACACTTATAATTGTTTCAAATAGGCATTTGTTCATTTTAAAACTACTAGAAGTTACACTGAAGAAAAGCATTCAAAAGAAGACTTTTGAACAAAAAAATTGTTGAATGAGTGAAATGCCTGAAGTAGCTCAATTTACCAAACAGAAATCACTCAGTATTACAAGCCTGCAGATTTCAGTTTTACTGATTTCAGTTCTGTCTGCCCAGTTCATTTCCAAATTTGTATCAGTTTTACATACTTTAGACATTGGCGCCATATATGAAGCTAAAAAAATTAGCATACTTGTTTATTTTGTTTATATTCTTATTTTTAGTAGTGGTTTCAAAATTCTTATATAGGCAAAGAATGGGCTGGCTGTCAGGGTTGGCAGCGTGGATGGAGAGTGGGAACCCGAGGGGAGGGCTTGAATCTGCTATTACTTAGCCTTTTAAAGAAAACTGAGGAAATATGATTTTTCTCTTCAAGGAATGGTGTTAGAGGTCAGTGGCTGCTAGAATTTATGAGATTACGCCGTTGCCCCTACAAAAACATTGCTTTGTGCTACCATTGCACACTGCGAATTCTGCGAAGTTTAACAAGGCCACTGAAATCTTTAGTTTCCAAGGTTGTGTGTTGGGCGGTAATCTATCCCTTCTCTCTGAGTTTCCTGAAATACAGATGCAGAAGAAAGTTTCAGAAAGAAACAGTTTCTCTCAAATGTATACATGGGAAATCCAAACAAATTTGTCCGTTGAGGTTAGGAACAAACTCAACATACCTTTCCTCCAGTTAACCAACCTGCTTTCCAAAAAAGCCAATTTAGGTTAAGGTTACTTTTGAGAAATTTGTACTTTTTGTTTCAGAATCTGTAATAATTTCATGTTTGCTGATTGCTGATATTTGGTCAACAATACTATAGAGCCAGTTCTTACTTTTTGTATGAATTGGCACTCTGCCTACTGGCTTCAAGAATGTAGAAGAAAGCAGGAGAGGAAAGAATAGGAATGATGGGAGAATAAAGAGACTCATTATCATTGTCTCTTTAAAACTGAGAGCTAGAAGGGGCCTTGGAGATGATTTTATTCAGTAATACTAAGTACTTAGAGAATACATGTACATAGTTTTGTCCTGTAATACAAAAAATAGTGGTGTCTAGGGACCTAATAATAGGAATATTAAAATGATTATATTTACTTAAGGAACATTTCATATTATAAGGTACTATTGGCCATTGGATATAAATGATTTATCAATAAGAAAAAGGATAGTAGTATTTCATAAAAGTGTTCATTTAGCAGGATTCAAAACAATATCCAAGAAGAACCTGGAGAGAAGATTGTGTGTGACACAATGCCAATTTTAAAATGGGGGCCAGAGGCTTACATTTACATAATTTTCTTTATTTTGACTCAATCATTTTGGCAAAGCCACTGGCTTAGCCACACATGATGTATAGCTTGTAATAAATAACTTTGTCTTTTGCCTCTCGTCATCTGTAAAATAGATAATACTCTTCACCTCTTTCTTCCCTCCCTCCATAGAGTTGTCTGTCTTTATTCATCAGCTCTATATTTGGAGACTATGTTGGGCTGATGATTGAACAGTGATGAATGAATTAAGGTGAATTACAAGGATATCCTAGAAGATGCTTAAACTAACATGAAATTCAATTATCTAAAGTTAGTTTGTAATACTCTAACCATCATAGAGGCCAAGTATAGTGTTTCACCAATTTTTTTGCTCACGTAGCTCAGGCCGCATTTTTCTTTTTAGTGATTTATTTTCCTCCTAATGGTACTCAATTTGATTTGACATTATTCAGATTTAAATGCTGAGGGAGAGGTATGATTTTCCTTTACCTCCTAGAAAAGAGGATGCAGTCAAGGGCAGCTCACCGTCACTTTGATGGTAATGTCCTGCCAAACAAAACAGCGCGTGCTGAAGATTTCATTCAGCAGGCATGGAACCCGAATTGCTCAATAAATCCCCATATTGGTTGGTTTTATAGCTTAAAAGAAGGAAAATATAAAATAGTCTGTCCGGATGACTCACAGATTGTCTCTTGCTCAGTATTAACAGTAAAATAATAATCCTTTTGATTACCATAAATATATCAAAATACTGTAGCTATTTTCAAAATATATAGAAATACATAGAAATAATTTAGATGTGATTGTTGCCTAAAAAGTTAGAAATAAAATTTGGCCCATATTTTTTCCAAGAAGTCATTAAAAGCTTTCCTTTGTTTTCATATTCAAAAGGATACCACTTGTACATGCAGAATAGCCAACCTGCTTCCCCTCTGGTCAGTACTTGATAACCAGAGCACACACAGACAGAATCTCCTTTCATTGCTGCTCTTAATTGTGAAAGAGTTTTATTCTTCCCCATGTTCCCAAATCCAGAAACTGGTACAGTTCCAAGGTGTCCTGAATACAGATATCTGGCTTTGGATGAAATCTCCAAGGAGTTTTATATTCACTCACCACTTCCTGTGGAAGAAGTAGTTGTAATAATCATTACAAATATCTTGAACTGCAAACTTAGCAGCATTGTTTTCTTTTCTGTTTCAGACATATTCAGCATTGAATCACTGAATAATTTTATTTCTAATTATGAAATTGAAGCTTTGGCAGATTTCATTTTATTCACTTGAAATTAAAGCAAGTTATTTTATATATTCTAATGAGATCAGAATGTTACAAGTATGTGTTTGGATTTTATTTCCATACTCTTGGAGAGAAGGCCATAACTTGAAAAATGACTGGAAAGAAACTATTATAGTCATTATTAAGAAGAGACTATTTATGATAGTCATTATTTAGTAAAGTGAGTTTCCTTAAACTTGGTACATTTCTGTGTAACCAGTGAATTAATTCACAAGTCATTTAAGCTTCGTGAATATATTTTAAATGTTTAAAATCTATTTCAGAAGCTTAACCAATAAGATAAAGTTATATCTGATAACCAAGCACCATTCTGTGCACCAGTGATACACAGCTGAGTGGCAAACTCAAAATTTTTTGTGTGTATATAATTTATGTTTCACCAGTTCTTTCCCCAGCTCCTCACAAATTCCCTGTACCTGTTCTTCACCATTGACGTACACACATACCCATACCCAGAGAGTTTTTTCAAGAGTTCTCCCGGGATTGATTGTGAGTGATTCTGGTCTGTCTTTTTCACGCCATCTGTGGGGTAGTCCTCTTCTCTTGCTCAGGCCCCTCTCTGCTGGGTAAGACCCCCATATCCACTGACCACCCAGCCCTGCATGTGTGGAGTGCCGGCTGCCTGCTGAGCGCAGTACTTGGCAGTGCTCACTGCCGTTCATACCAGGTGTCCCAGACTCTGCTGGACACCGATTCTTGTCTAGCTGGACACAACTTCTGACACAGGAGGCTTGCAGGTAACACACTCCACGCAGCATTCTGTGGAAACGTTGAGGAGAATACCTTTCTCCTCTTTTCTGTTCTGGTAGAGAGATCACAAGCACTGCAAGGGCACCCCCAGTGTCTTATATGAGTACATCCTATTCTTTTTCATCACGGCCTCTCTCTCCCTGGGACCCCTGGGGAATGGAGCCATGAAGAATCCCAAGCGACAGACCCCCTATTACACTTAACATTACTTTACTCCTCTCATGTTCAGTTAGTGCTTTGTTACTGAGGCAGCCCTGTCAGCATCTGACACTCCACCAACGCACCTCCTTAGGATGAGCTCCCTCTCAAGCGTAGCTCAGGTTCTCGCACAAAGGGGACTGTCCTGCCAGTTTGCAGAGGATTCTGAAGCCAAAAGGTGAGCCAGCAGCACCAGCCACCGTGTGCAGATGAAACAGATGAACGAATGCACACAAGCCCTATAACACACTAGAAAACTGCTGTTTAAAAGATATTAATGATATTAATAATTTTTAAACCTTGGTATTTACCTCTTAAAAGTCTAAAATAAAAAGGTTTTCGGTTTTACTAGTTGGTTTCTCCTGAGTCATGGTGTGTATATTTTTAGTATTACTGCTGCCTCAATATCTCTCTGCTTTAAAATAGTGATACTTTCCCAAAGCTTTCTCCTTGTCTCTGTTCTCTCTTCCTACTCTCCTACACTCTTTACTTGCCAAATATATATTAATACACATACAATTCTGACACCCCTCTGAACCTGAAGAAGAGTGTTGTCAAAGGAAAAAGAGGTCAAAAGTGGACCCTTGAGATTTTCTAGCCCCATTCCTGGTGTGATTCTGTTACTTGTTCAATAAAAGACGCTTTTCACAAATGCTTATTGAGAGCTCAAATGTGTGCCAGGTAAAGAAGATCTTGACTAGTTTGGGAGAACAAGGGGGGCCAGGGAAAACCAACAGAGTTAGGAGGCATATCCAGGCAGAGGGAAGAACACATGCAGTGGCACATGCGGAGAGAACAGGATGTGTTGGAGGAACTCCAAGTAATTAGATATGCCTGGAACAAAGAGGACATCTGAGGATTTGGAAGGAGCAGAGACTTAGCAAAGTGGGTGGAGGTCATCACATTCTGGCCCAGTCTGCCAAAGGACTTAATAGCAATTGTTTAATTTTTTAAAGTTTTTCAGATTTTAAGTCAGATAAGAATGCTAGTTCCTCTTGTAACATACAGCTGGATACCAAGGAATTGAGGTTAAGATGCATAGTGTATACATCCAAACTACTATAGCACAGTTCACTGAGATGGACTTTTCCTTCCACTGAGCTCTGTACTGTGTTAGTTCCATCATATTTAAACATTGATAATAGTGACAGTAACCACACTTGTAATGATAAAAATAATGAGTTTGTCACTGGACCATGCTTGCTTTAGAGCTTTGGTTTTTGTAAAAATTTAACCTATTAGGGGGAAAAATGCTGTTTTACTGTTAACACATGGCAATCTGACCAGCACTTAGGACAGACTACTGCACATCCACTGAGGGAAGCCCCTCATGGTTTTGTTTGGGTTGAATAAAATCCTTCTCTTACTGTGGGGTTGGAGTCATCTTATTCCTCTGAGGTATGTTAGCAGATAAAGCAGAATGGAGTAACTAAAGAGCTAAAGGACCCTCTTGTACCCCTTCCCTGAGCATCTGGGAAAGACCCATATGGAAATATTAGACAGTGACTGGCTTTACTGATGTTTTGAAGATAGTCGGATTCTGGTAGCTTAGCATATGTAATGTGAACTTCAAGATTTATCCAAACGCTTATTGCCAATTACTACAGAAAGTTGGGTTGATTACTCTTATCGCTAATCTTTGTATCAATATAAAATAATAAGTATTTGATGAAAATTTAAGTTACTTTTCACTTAGTCAAGAATTTCTCAAACAGGGTCATACTTTTTAGTCATTTTATATCATGATATCATCTCATTTCTCTCACCTTTTATTTCAAGTGGATAGGAAGAAACCAACCCATTGGAAACTGATTTTTTTTTTAAGACTTAAGGAGGAACTTGTACAACTTTCCTCTATAAGTCATTTTGCTAACAGTTTTTTCTTTAGTTTTTAGTTGTAGTATTTTAATTATACAATTAATATATTGATAATGACTTATTGTTAAAAAGTAAAATGATACAAGCCAGGCCTGGTGGCTCACGCCTGTAATCCCAGCACTTTGGGAGGCCAAGGCAGGTGGATCACCTGAGGTCAGGAGTTCGAAACCGGCTTGGCCAACATGGTGAAACCTCAGCTCTACTAAATATACAAAAATTGGCCGGGCGTGGTGGTGCACACCTGTATTCTCAGCTACTCAGAAGGCTGAGGCGGGAGAATCACTTGAATGCAGGAGGCGGAGGTTGCAGTGAGCTGAGATCGCACCACTGCACTCCAGCCTGGGCAAAGAAGTGAGACTCTATCAAAAAAACAAACAACAACAACAACAACAAAAACTAAACTAAAACGATAGAGACATATACAGAGTAAAAAGTTAGTCCCTCCCTTTTCCTTCTCCCCATGCCCACTATCCTCCTTGCCTCTCCAGCAGTAGTCACTGTTAACAGTTTGATGTGTGGTCTCTGGCATTTGCCTTATGTGTATACTATATGTACTTGTACATACATGCCTAGGCAAGTAGATTGGAGTTGGTAAACAATTTATTTCTCTAAATCAAATCCCAGAAAGCAGAGTTTGTGCTTTATGTTATCTGATTGCACTCTGATTTTCTTTCTTACAGGAAAGCATTCTTTAAGGCTTAGGAAACTATAGGAATTCTTTGAGGCTTTTCTTTTTTTACCTAGTTTATTTAACTTATTTTTATTAGTAATCTGAATAAAGGTGCCAAAATTTTAAAATATACTAAACCTGGAGGGAAAAAATGTCTATATTTAGGAATTTGGACTAATCTTGTCAGCATGTGATGGTGAGGCTGAAATGAAGAAATATTCAATAGGGATAAAAATTTTAAATTGCATTTAAAATTTTAAAATGTGTTATAGAAGTTTAGGATGTAAGACTTGATTTCAGCAGTAGTTAACTTGAAAATAACCTGGTGATGTTTGTTGGCAAGGACTAGCTGATGTAGTGTCTGAATGCAATCTTATGATAACTGTAATAGAAGTATACTATCCTGATCAAGAAGGCACAAACCTCTTTGTACCCTTCCCTAAGCAGGCCACTTTCAGAATACTATATTCAGGTACAGGAAATATAAGGTAAAACACAAGTAGCCCAGAGATTTTATTTCTGTTTGGAGCAATATGGATACTATCTAAGTGGGTTTGTATAGCCCACTAATTACTAAATGCTTTGAAATTAATGGTTATATAATAAGTATAAACAAGTTTGAATTTCATCAGATAGCTAGATAATGAAATACTTGGTTGATTTTTAGAAAGTAAGCAAGGACTTGGTATTTTTGTAATAGAAACACATCAAAAAATCAATCCTTTAATTATAATCTAAACCAATTTCAATAGCCTGTGCATGGTCTCATTGTTGCTACTCAAAATGTGACCTTTAGCCCAGCAGCTTCAGTATCACCTGGGAGCTTGTTAGAAATGCAAACTCAAAGCTCATCTAGACCAATTGAATGAGAACCTGTAAGTTAACAAGATCCCCAGGTGACTTACGAACATTAAAGTTTAAGAACCTGAAAAATTCTGAACCCTCAACTGTGTTCAATGAAAGCTTTAAAAAGTCCATAAAGATGGTGTCTCCATACTTCTTGTGTATCTTCTTGAAGCATGATGCAATAGTTTGGTAAAGAAATGAGAAAAGTAGAAGATGAGGCAATCGTGGTGGCTTATTTGACTCTTGCATTGTCCTTCTAGGCAATACCAGTATTCTTACCTTTTCACATTTTTTAGTATAGGTTGGAATTATTGATAAGTAGTGATAATTCCTAGGATGACTAAATAGAAAAATGTTTTAAGTTATAGAAAAAAATAAGATCACTAAGATCCCGTAATGTATCATAGACTTATAAAAGGGTTCATTCTATTCATGTTAATTGCAAGAGAGAATAAATTTGATTCTACTTTAAAAATATATAGGCAATTTTTTTTCTGTGTTCTTTGGAAGAAAACTTCCAAAAAGAAATTTAAAAAATAAAATTGGATCCAGTTGACCCTGAGAATTAACTGGGAGTTAAGAATGTTAAGGCTCTTTCAAAACACACTGAAAACCAGATCATGTGTATGAAAATATAACTAGGAATGCGAAGTATATGAAATGGATATCGTGAGTATTGTAAAAGTTCAGATGAATGAGTATTTGATTAATTCATTCAATAAATATTAAGTGCCCATTATGTGCCAGGCATTGTTCTTGGAATTGGGGCTAACTGGAGCTTAGATTTTAGTGGAGGACCCAGCCAATACACAAATTAACAGGCCAGTGAAAGTCTGGGTAATACGTGCTGTAAAGAAAAAATAGAGCAGGTCAGGCGATGGTGAATGACTGCAGCACAGGCCAGGATGCCACAAGCAGATGCTTCCCTCTTCTTTGGTAACTAGGCCCTTGAGATGATGGGGAGATATGTAAGGAGTTACCATTTGGCCAGACTCTGAATAAAACACAAGAGCCATGTGTGGGAAGTGGAGCATAACCAAACTGCAGCAATAGTTCTGTTTGTAAAGTCCTTTTATCACCTTAATTGAATGGGACTGTCCTGTGGCCTCAGGGCTACCTAGGATGCAAATAAAATCACCCACTATTGGCTTTGTGGTATCCTGAGATACCACAGCACAAGAAAGGGGCTTGAGATCCGCAGAGATCATTCTCCGCTATCCAAGCTCTGAAACCCTTCAGTCTGAAGGCTGAAAAACACTGATTCATTGTAGTTCAAGTCTCACCTGATAGCACCACTCTTGAGTCTGCAGTCTCAATTTCCACATCTGTAAATTGGGAAAGATACCCAACTTGCAAGGTTATTGTGACAACCATAAAGAGTATGTATCAGGTGCCTGACACGTACTAAGTGTTTAATAAACAGTAACCAGTATTACTCCCCATGAGGGTTAGCTTATTAACATCTCATTTCTAAGATGTTAGAAATGATCCTCAGATTCCTTAGAACCTAAGGTAGACAGTTTCAGCCTTATGATATTACTAAGATACATAATAACAATTTAGAGTTCCCATACATAAAAGATTGTTCTACCCATTGCCTACCCTCACCCTCCAACTTAGCTCATTACTCCCTCCAGAGAATAGTAGTTGGGAGGTAGGGATGAGAGTGGATAGGCCCTGAAAAGGCAGTTTAGGGGTGTCAGTGTAAAATGTGCACAGATACATATTGTGTGAAGTCAGCTGCACGACAGCCAAATAATTTTATGCATTTTTATGTATCCACTCTTATCCATCCTGTAAACCTAGTTTCATTCACAAAGGTGAACACATTTAGTTTCTTCAAATACATGAGAGACTGGCTGGGAATAATCCCCCCAGGAGTTACCAAAAGAGGTTTCAACATTTGAAGGCCACCCTGAGCCATGGGAACAATGGAGAGGACTCACTGTGTGACTCTAGTCTGTCTCCCTTGCCCCTGAGAGGAGATAACACCTCCTCTTCTCTCAGTTCTGTACAGCTCAGCCTTGACCTTGAGGTTCCTGGGAAGTTGTTAGAATTGTGTTAGGTTAGTACGAAATCTATTCATTCCTAAGCTGATCAGATCCCATTTCCTGACTTCTTGTCATTGAATACTTCACATTTAGTTTACTCTGAAATGTACGTTAAAAAAAGAAAAGACAAAGTCTTTTTGGATGCTATGTTTCAAACTGTGTGTTTTGTGATCTTAATGGTTTTTGCTAATTTTAAAAAGCAGTGAGTTGGTGGTAGAAAATAGCTGTTCTCATCGAATGTGTCTTTAAAATGTTCTATAAAACTATCAACAAAACAGGGCAAACATCAAGATCTTGAATCACTGGATTTTTATACAACACAATGCCCATGGTAGACAAATACCAAAAACCAGAAAATGCCTAAAACGTAAATTTTAAAAAGGAAGGGAGAAGGGGAAGAAGGAAGAAGGAAATAGAGGGGAAAAGGAAATTAAAGGAAGAGAAGAAAGAAAGGAAAGAATAAAATGGAATCAAGAGTCCTATCCTTTAGATACCAGAGAAAGCGCAGGCAGAATTTTATGGTGGGGTTCATTTCTGCCTTGCTTCCTGCCTCAGCTTCTGTAGAATGGCCCTTAATCATGGTGGCAGTGATTCTGATTGCAAGGCAGCCTTTGCTGAAGAAAATCTGGCCATCAGGGTTTTGAGGATAAAGCAGTGATCACAGACTTAAACCTTTAAGAGCCAACTGGGAAATGCCCTCCCATTTGAGATGCCCTGGTTTGTGCTGACCTCCAACTGATAGAGTTAGGGATGGGTGGAAGTCCCAGTCAGCATCAGGGTGGCAAAAAGTGCCCAAGAAGTGTGTCCTTCTTGGCTCTTCTGTTTCCCACCTACCCACAGAAGGCAGGCATGCATGGTGAGCCAGTCTACCAGCACTAGGAGCTGCACATTCCATGCCAAGAAGACCCTCTCAGATTTCTATAAGAAGTCAGTCCTGTGAGACTGCCTTACATGGATCCCTACTACCTCCAAGTGGTGTATTTATTGCCAATAGAAGGGACAGGTCCAGGGCATCCCTGGATATTAGGCCACACTGATTCCTGGTGGTGGCGATGGACGGGGCATTAGAGGTGGTGCTGGTGCTGCTGGCTGTAACAGTGGTGTGATGAGGTAGGGGAGGCTGGCTTGCTCTGGGGTGCTCAGAATATGGCTCTTCAATTACATAGATCCATTTTTGGTTGTCTTGAGTCTTTTCTGCACATTTTACTTTCCATATGGAGTCATTTCCCTTTGGCATGAAGAGCATCTTTAGCATACTATGTAGTGCAGTTCTGCTGGTTACAGATTCTCTCACTTGGGCATATATGAATATGTCCTTATTTAGCCCTCATTTTTGAAGGCTATTCTGGTCTCTTCTTCTGCAGTCCCCAGCCAACCACTGATCTCCTCTCTGTCACTATAAGTTATATTTTCTAGAATTTCATATAAATGGAAACATACAGTATGTAATTTTTGTGTAGCTTTTTTCATGCAGAATAATTTTGAGATACATCCATGTTGTGTGTACATCAATTGTTCATTCCTTTATATTGCTGAGTAGTATTTACTATATGGCTATACACAATTTGTCACCTGTTGATGGACATTTGGGAGTTTCTGCTTTTTAGCAATTACAAATAAAATTGCTATGAATATTTGCGTTCAAGTCTTTGCATGGGGGTGGAAAACCTTTATTCAAATTACTAATAAAAATAAGTTAAATAAACTAGGTAAAAAAAGAAAAGCCTCAAAGAATTCCTATAGTTTCCTAAGCCTTAAAGAATGCTTTCCTGTAAGAAAGAAAATCAGAGTGCAATCAGATAACATAAACACAAACTCTGCTTTCTGGGATTTGATTTAGAGAAATAAATTGTTTACCAACTCCAATCTACTTGCCTAGGCATGTATGTACAAGTACATATAGTATACACATAAGGCAAATGCCAGAGACCACACATCAAACTGTTAACAGTGACTACTGCTGGAGAGGCAAGGAGGATAGTGGGCATGGGGAGAAGGAAAAGGGAGGGACTAACTTTTTACTCTGTATATGTCTCTATCGTTTTAGTTTAGTTTTTGTTGTTGTTGTTGTTGTTTGTTTTTTTGATAGAGTCTCACTTCTTTGCCCAGGCTGGAGTGCAGTGGTGCGATCTCAGCTCACTGCAACCTCCGCCTCCTGCATTCAAGTGATTCTCCCGCCTCAGCCTTCTGAGTAGCTGAGAATACAGGTGTGCACCACCACGCCCGGCCAATTTTTGTATATTTAGTAGAGCTGAGGTTTCACCATGTTGGCCAAACCGGTTTCGAACTCCTCTTTTCTCTTGGATGGATACCTGGGGGTGGAAAACTGGATCATATGGTAGGTGTATGTTTATGTTTTTACCAAACTACTGAACTGTTTTGCAAAGTGGTTGTACCATTTTACATTCCTACCAACTGTGGTAAGTAATCAGGGGTCCAGAGTTAAATAAGGCTCTCCCTGCTACCAGTCTTTCCATTCTTCTCATATTTGCTGTACACAGCCACAAATTGAATTCCAAGTCATTGAACACAGACTTTCTTGTAAGGGCAAGGAGTTGTTCTGGAAGTGGATCTAGGGTTATTTCGCAGAGAATTCTGTGGCCTGGGGAACTTGAAATGTCATCTGGGGAGGCTAAGTTGTGGCCATAGGGAGGCATGATCCCTTGGCTCAAAGGATTTTTTTTTTTTTTTTGCTTTGTGGAGGGACGTGGCCAAAGGATGACCAGAAGGGGGCCTTGAAAGTGTGGGGCTCAGGCCAGTGCCTCTCGCTCAGGTCTAAGGGCTATACTGTTCCCTTCTCATCCACCCAATTCTAACCATCTTGAAAAACCCATCCTGCATCCGCACGCCTGTATCTTCTGTCGTGTGGCAGTTCTGTGTGTCCTCCTCCTCTCGGTTGTTTGCTGTTTGACTTTCTATGTCTCACTTTCCCAATTTGTGCATAAACTTTTCAGTCAACTACTCTGTCTCCTTTTCCTTCATATGTATGACAAAGTGTTATGTACACGAATGCTGTTCAAAAATGTGTCAATGAAATGCATGGAGTTTGCTGCTTTTTCTCTGCTCCTAAGTTGGTGTTAATCTTCAGACATTGTCCAGCACACTTGACATTTACATACAGAATCTAGTCTAGTGTGCAGCTAGGACTTTGTGGTCCAAGCTCTGCCCAGTTAGCCTTCCTAATCTCACCCCAGTTCACTAACACTGCAGACCTCTCTGTGCTTATGCTATGTTTTACTATTCCAGTGTAAACCTCAGTTTGTTCCCCTGACATCACCTCATCTCATCATTGCCTTTTTAGACTACTTCCTTACTAACTATATTAAGTAACCCAGAAATAAAGAGAGAATTTTTATCAGGTTTCTGATTTTCCCAGCATTGGCTGTGGTTCTCTCTGTCAGATAGGTCACTAGAGACCCTGGCCATAAAAACATTTCCCAAGGGAGTCATGCCTCAATGTGTTTTATCTATGTTAATCTTTCTTTCTGATGTGTTCTTTCTTTCCTTCTCCATCTGGAAAATGTCTCCAGTCTTTCAAAATTCAGCCACAGCATTATCTCTTCCAAGAAGGCTTTACTTTTTAAGAGATCTAAATTAAAGTATGTTTCTCTATCCTTTATAGCACATCTCTTATAATATTTAAGACACTGGTACTGCAATTTTTTTATTTATTTGTGTATTACTCTCTCTCCACTAAGAACTCTGTGACGATAAGGACCACATCTCATTTGACTTTATTTTTCAGCATATAACAGTGCTAGTATATAAAATCCTCAAATAATTGGTTAATGAATCAATAAATTAATGAATAAAGGAATGGAATGCCTCTTTTTATTCATCTCTTTCCTTTTCTGTTCTCCACATCTTCCCTTGTTTTACTTTTGTTTCTGCCCTTCTTCCACTGTGACTAAATTTTTGCAATATAGAAATAATACGGGCTTTGTGACCTTTAGCGTTTTCTTAGCTCTACAAATGTTGGAAAATGGATTTTGAACCTTAGCAAACAAGCTGAAACAGTTTAAACATTTGTTTGTGGGTGCAGCAATGGAAGAAAGACTTCATTGGCATTTGTTATGATGGTGAGTACATTTGTGAGATTAACATTCTTTGCTCAAGACTGAGAGGCCTCTGGTCAGCCGCCCCCATTCTAAAGCAACACAGATCATATTCTGTCACACTGAGATCTCAGGTAACTGACCTTTCTCACATCGGGGGCCTCCCGAGATGCCCTACATGGAAACAAAGATGAATATACTGTTTAAAAATTTTCAGGCTTGGTTTAGCCCAGATATTTTTTATAAAGATATTATGAAATAATGAAGATAAAGTTCCTTATATGCTGGCCAGCAATAGTAGGTGCCAGTCAATGTTAGTCATCATCTTCATCCTCTTTCCCAAGCTTTCTAAAGTTCCCGAAGACATACGTTTCCTTGAAATTTCTCTCAGGATCAGAGTCACAAATAAGGAATAGGTCCAAGTGATATGTGCCAGGCAGCAAACATGCCGCTCCTCTTTTTCAGATGCCAGCAAATTAATCATCTGTTTTGGCACTTACAACTTTTTTTGAGAGTGAGCTGAATCTAATGCATGCTCCATATCAACTTCCCGAGGCTGTCATGCTCAGCTCACACACAGTCAGGGACCAACCCGCTGGCCCCACCTTCCTGGAAATACTGGTAATGTTCTGACTTCTCCTCTGGTTGCTTGAGGAGGTGCTGTAGACCTCTGTGGCGGAGCTGGGAAATACCTGAACGGGTATTTTGAGCAGCGTGAGAGCAGACCATGCTGGCAGTATTCCGGCTCCCACCTGAATCCAGTGAAAGTGACAATAATTAATCGGGTGTACCCAAGTGGCACTATTTACAGTAATATAAAGTAGATGTTAATGTGTAAGAAATAGTTTGAAAACAAACAAAACATAAATAGAAAAAATAGCTGTAATGCTCCTTACTTGAAAAACAGTCCTACTTAAAGTTTTAGATTCAGTTTTACGAAATACAGTTCAGCCTGAATTTTCATTTTAAAACTGGATTTATGAATATATTTTGTGGAAACAGATGTTCTCTATTGCCTACCCACAACTGTTATTGTAACAAGGGAAGTTGCTTATGGAACAGCTTTGCCTATAAGCATTTTAGAGGTAAATGGAATTTAGGTCAATAACCCTTCAATGTTTTTTTTTCTTTTTTTTTTTTGAGACAGAGTCTCACTCTGTCGCCCAGGCTGGTGTGAGGTGGCGTGATCTCGGCTCACTGCAAGCTCTGCCTCTCGGGTTCACGCCATTCTTCTGCCTCAGCCTCCTGAGTAGCTGGGACTACAGGTGCCTGCCACCATGCCTGGCTAATTTTTTTTGTATTTTTAGTAGAGATGGGGTTTCACCATGTTAGCCAGGATGGTCTCGATCTCCTGACCTCGTGATCCGCCTGCCTCAGCCTCCCAAAGTGCTGCGATTACAGGTGTGAGACACCGCGCCTGGCCAACCCTTCAATGTTTAAATGCACCAAGTCTGTTCTCTAGGACTCCTCTTGCCTAAGGAAATAAGAGGAATTGTTTCCTTCCAAATCTTTATAGGCTTGTGAAAGGTGAGGATGCATTTACTGTCCTCTTTCCTTAAGTCTTTGCAGTCAAAAGTCCTTGAAGCTGGGACCCTTTGAAAGTCTGTCAGTTACATGTTGTTGGTAGTGGCTTGTTTTGACCGTTTCAAAAAAAGAAGAAAAAAACACTTAAATCATTTTTTCTTTCTCTTTTTAGGAACATCTAAAGGCCTTTGATGATGAAATCAATGCTTTTTTGGACAATATGTTTGGACCGCGAGGTCAGTGAATTACTTGAGAACTTAATGTGGAAGGAACACAGGAAGAACACCATTTAGTTATAGAAAGGGATTATGTTATTTCTGGTGTCTTGGAAATAGTAAGGTACTTAATATTTAGAAACTTAACTTCCTCAACTTTGATATCCTTCCAGAATGTCCAGAAGATCCCATTTCTCCTACTGCTTAACCTCTCCTGGGATTAAAGAAGTTCTGGGAGCAGGAAGCAGAGATAGAGTGAAATGCAATGCTTTCCTCCAGTGTCTGTCTGGCTACAAAGCCGGGTTGTAACTTTCCTTCTAAAGGATGCTGCTTTCTTGTTTCCTCTCCACTGCCCATTCATCTTCCACCTTTCTTACATCCTAGTTATATGTGACATTTCTGCCCTTAGATGCCTTGATAAATTCCCTTTAAAGATGTGTGCGCTGGCTGGGTGTGGAGGCTCATGCCTGTAATCCCAGCACTTTGGGAGGCTGAGGTGGGCGGATCATGAGGTCAGGAGTTCAAGACCAGCCTGACCAACATGGTGAAACCCCGTCTCTACTAAAATTACAAAAATTAGCCAGGCGTAGTGGCTTATGCCTGTAATCCTAGCTACTCAGGAGGCTGAGGCAGGAGAATCACTTGAACCCAGGAGGCAGAGTTTGCAGTGAGCCAAGATCGCGCCACTACACTCCATCCTGGGCAACAGAGTGAGACTCTGTCTCAAAAAAAAAAAAAAAAAAGATGTGTGCGCTTTCTCTGCCCGGGGCCCGTAGGTAGGATGAGCTTAGACATCTCTCCATCTTTCCTTCATCACCAGTCGCTTACTGTACTGCAGTGGCCTCCTAACAGGCCTCCCCTCTTCCACTCTTGCCCCTTCCAGTCATTTATTCAGTGTCAGCTGGAATGACATTCTAAAGACCTAAGTCATATTGCATGGCACTGTAGCTTAAAACTCATCAGTGTCATCCCACTGCTCTCAGGTAAAAACCAAACTTCTTATCATGGACTGCGCACCCTTGGGCTGTCTAACCCCAGCAACCTCTCCAACTCAGTCAGTATCCGTCGTCCTCACTGGCTTTCATACAGCTGCTCAAGCCATCTTTTAATTCTGCAAATATGTAAAATTCTTTTACGTGCTATTCCCTGAGCCTGGAATTCCTTCCTAGGATCTCCTACCCCTCCCTCCAGATGAGTCAGTTCCTGTCACACTTGAGGTGTCAGCTTAAACGTTGCCTTTTCAGTTGGGCTTTGCCTCTCTAAGGTACAGTAGTCCCCCCTTAGCAGCAGTTTCGCTTTCTGCAGTTCCAGTTACCCGTGGTCAACCATGGTCCAAAAATAGGGGAGCACAATACAGTAAGATATTTTCAGATAGAGAGATGACCACATTCACATAACTTTTATTATAGTATATTGTTATAATCTCTTACTATGCCTAATTTATAAATTTTCCATAGGTGTATATGTACAGGAAAAAGCATGGTACCTACAGGGTTTGGGAGTATCTGCAGGCTCAGGCATCCAGAGGGGTCTGCTGTGGTCCCTCATCATTCTGTTTCAACCCTTGTTTACTTCCTTCAGATACTTCATTGTTACCAACAGCGATTTCTCCCAGAAGGGCAGGAACCCTGGCTGTTTTACTCACCATTTATCTCCAGGGTTTATTACAGTTCTGGGAACATATTCAGCACTGTATATTTTCCAAATAAATGAATGAATTCTAGACAGAAGGTTTCATTTTACTTGAGCCTTATTGGCTCACAGAACTGTGAAAAGTCCTTAGTTCTCTACAAGTTATTTCCTCAGCCCTATTGGAGGAGTGAGAGAGCAAGGAATGAGGAGGTTTTCCTGTTTCTCAAGATCTTTAAACAATCACTTGAGTATTTAGGCCATTCTCCATTTTCTCCATGGGCTCTATTAACTGTTCTAAATGCATGACTATATAGTTTTAATATAATGATACTGATTCTATACAGCTTTGAAAAAATCCTTTCACATAGGTTTTTTTGCTTTTTCCATTTAACCTCCTGATGACTCTGTGGGGTAGGCAGGGCAGAATATCTTTATCTTCTAACCTACTTTTACTATGTTCTCTCCCTTACAGTTCTAGTGGGTAGAAAGGAGAACAGCTCAGTGTAGAGGGCATGACCCTCTCCCTTAGGCATGCAGGACCCGGGACCCCTCCCTTAGGCATGCAGGACCCAGAGCCCCCTCCCTTAGTTAGGCATGCAGGACCCGGAGCCCCCTCTCTTAGTTAGGCATGCAGGCCCCGGGGGCACTCTCGCTTAGGCATGCAAGATCCAGGAGGAAGTATGATTTGTTGGTGACAGTGGTTTTCTGTTTGACACTTCGACTAGACAGTTAAACAACAACTTGTCTGCGCCAAGTTCACTGAGCTTTGCTGCCAGTAAGATTGGCGTGATCTGGAATTATGTGGATGTGGGATCAATTGAGGAAAGGATTACAGTTGTTTACTCTGCATTGGTCATTTTATGGAATTTTCCTTTGTAGCAAGGAGATTGTAAAATTGACAGTTGACAGTGGAATCAGATGAGCTCCACACTGACAAGGTGTCTAGCATGTAAGCCATCAGGAATCCTTTTTTCTTCCTAAAAGTCTCACACCCTGATGCTGACTGGCACATCACCGAATAAACCTCTCGGTGTCTCCTAGCCTCTTCTGATTTTGCCCACACCATGTTAGTACCATCAAGGGGTATTGTTCTGAGCAAATACTGACTCAGAGGAAGAGCTAACACTTCTCAAGTCCCAAAGATAAGAAAGTTTATTACAAGCATTTGTTCCTATCTTTTGGCTAAAACAACTATGATTATCCTTAACAACTGTAGCAAACATTTACAGCACTGTGACAAAAGAAAACAAAAACCTCAGGTGCTATATTAGTTTGCAGTATGTGCTTGACTCAATGTGCCAATGGATATGCATTTAATGAATGTTTCCTCTTAACTCAGCACTACGTGGGTATGAGTCAGACAGAGTAGAGATATAAGACCTAGTGGCTGTCTCCTGGAGCATGTACTATAGTTGGGGAGGTAAAGCCAGCACATCTGAAACTACTGGAAATCAATTAAATACTAAACCATGTGTGTTTGTTTCCTAGGCTGCCATAAAAAGTGCCACAAACTGGGTGGCTTAAATAGCAGAAATGTATTCTTTCACAATTCTGGAGGCCAACAGTCTGAAATCAAGGTGTCAGCAGAGCCTTGTTCCCTCTGAGGTTCTAGGGAAGATTCTGTACCATGACTCCCCGTAGTTTCTGGTGGTTGGTGGCAATCTCTGGTGTTCCTTAGCTTGGAGATGCATCACTCCAATCTCTGCCTCCCTCTTCACATGGCCGTCTTCTCTTTTGTCCTTGTATTCAGACCTCTCCTTCTTATAAGGACACTAGTCATTGGCTTAGGGCCCACCCTAATCCAGTATAACCTCATCTTAGCTATATTATATCTGCAAAGACTCTATTTTCAAATAATGTCACATTCACAGATACCAGGAGTTAGGACTTGAAGGCATCTTCGTGGGGGACACAATTCAGTCTAACACCATAACAAGAAGTAGCGTAGCAGTTTAGTGCAAGTCATTTCACTTTTCTAGGCCTCTACAGCTCAATTTTTCTTAAGGGTAAACTGGGATGATATTATCACCTATATAATGGGATTGCTTTGAGAATCAAATAAGTTAATACATGTAAAAGCCTTCAGAATAGTGCCTGGCACAGAATAAGTGCTCAGTAAATGTTATAGTAACAGTATCATAGCCATAATAATATGTGAATTAGAAAATGATAATAATTGTCTTGCTATGCATATGAGGAGCTATAAATATGAAAACACAGTAGGAAATGTCTCCCTTCAGAAGTCAGGACCTTTATCTGGGCATTAAAAGATGAGTAGGGTTCAGATATGGAGATGGACATTAGGAAGTGACACACAGCACAGACTTATGACAGGTGATTGCAAGCCTGCTGTATGAAAGGTGGTATCTGTTAGTCACATGAATGCTGAGAAGAGCTTTCTAACCTTTTTATCTCTATCACCAATGGGAGATATTTATAAAATAAGTGATGGGACAGTCAGAGCTTCAGAAGGCACTTGCCTTGTAGAAATGGTACTCTGTAGGGCGGGTGGTTTAACAAGAGGCTGGGGTATACAGGGTAGGATGCACCAGAAAGGGACTTAGAAAACAAAAAATTCAAGAAAAGGCCATTGCCTGTTGGTGAAACCAGCTCACTACAACTCCATTTGTGGAGGTTAAAAGCAGCATGCAATTTTTATAATTCTGGGCCAAATCATTTTCTTTATTTAAACAAACAAAAAGAGCAGAATAGAGAACACAAATCATTTAGTGTCTACAATGATTTTCAGGTGTTACTAATTATATTGTAGCTCTATCATGTGGGTTTCATTTAGGCTTTTAAATATTCACTCTGCAGTGTAAGGGGCCCTGATGTATTCAGCTGCTTGCCTCCCTGCTGTGTAAACGTCCAGTCCCATGGCCAGATCTGGGTCCTCAGTTCTGAATCACAGCTCCCAGGCTTTGCCTCTGCTGTCTGCAGCCTCCAGGCTTGCTGCACGGTCATCCTATTGCTTTCTCTGAACCAGCTGAACTCTAAACCCCTTCCATTACTGATACTAGGCAAATTCGGAGCTGTGTGGGCTTTAGGAATTAGGATACAGTATCGATATGCCTTCTTTCCTCTGACTGCTCTGATCTTCTCCATGGGAGGACAGCTGCAAGGTATCATGGGGCTGGGAGGCAGATGTGACTGGTTCAAATCCTGACTGTACTGCCGACTATGATGTAGCCTTTTGAAAGTTACTAAAGCTTTCTGAGCTGTTTTTTTTTCCATCCATAAAATTGCATAATAGTACTTACTTCATATTAATTTAGAGTAAATAAATGCAGTAACTGTTCCAAAATAGGCATTCAAGAACTGTCACTTCACACCTTTACTTCTTGTCCCTTTCATTCAGTGTTCAGCCTAAGCCCTGTTTGCTCCATGAAACCTTTACCGATTCAGCCCACAGGCTTCCTCTTCCCCTGAACTCTAAACCCAGGCCAGCCTACCTAATGTTGTATGGAGTTGTTCCCTGTTGTGCTGGTGTGTACAAATGCAATGTATGTGACAATACTGATGACTAAACAGGAGCATCATTCCTCAGGATCCTCACTGTATGTGTTTCTTTTCAGATTCTCGAGTCAGAGGGTGGTTCATGTTGGACTCTTACCTTCCTACCTTTTTTCTTACTGTCATGTATCTGCTCTCAATATGGCTGGGTAACAAGTATATGAAGAACAGACCTGCTCTTTCTCTCAGGGGTATCCTCACCTTGTATAATCTTGGAATCACACTTCTCTCCGCGTACATGCTGGCAGAGGTAAGTGTTTATGTAGCCAAAGCTGAAGTCCAGTAACTAGCAGTTTTTATTAACAGAAACAACCACATCTAGCCTGGCAGAACTATGCAAGGTTACTTTAAGACCTAAAAACTTATTCCAGCATTTGATATTATTCTTTCTGAAAATCCTGGAAGTCCTTGTTTATAACTTGAATCTTTCTATCCCAATTTAGACCTATTTCTTTTTTTTTTTGAGATGGAGTCTCGCTCTATCATCCAGCCTGGAGGGCAATGGCACAATCTCAGCTCACTGCAGCCTCCGCCTCCCAGGTTCAAGCGATTCTCGTGCCTCAGCCTCCTGAATAGCTGGGATTACAGGTACTCCCCACCATGCCCGGCTACTTTTTGTAATTTTAGTACAGACAGGGTTTCACTGTGTTGCCCAGGCTGGTCTTGAACTCCTGATCTCAGGTGATCCTCCTGTCTTGGCCTCCCAAAGTGCTGGGAGTACAGGTGTGAGCCACTGCGCCTGGCCTAGACCTATTTCTTTAGTCTCTAGTCTAATTATAATTTAGATTCACAATGTAGATCAAATGGGCCTTTCAAGATCATGTTACAATTTTCTCCTTTTACAGATTAGGATACTGAGGCTTAGAAAAGTTTCATAATTTGCCTGAGAGTAGACAGTGATTAACCGAGTATTTTAAAAATTAACTTAAACATCATATGCAGTTAGTTTGACTGAAATGCCAATATATATATTCCCTTAAAGAATACTCTGTATGTCTTTGGAACACTGACGTTTTAGCTCAGCTCTAGTGGCCCTTTGTTACATCCTGTGCTCCAAATTCCTCTGTGAAGCACCAAACCAAGGTCATTTTACAGGAGAAGGAACAAGGATGATTGCCCCATCTGTACAACCAAGGTTATTTTAATGTAAAGGAAGGGGAAATCTAAAAGTGTTAAATAACTTGCTGTAGAAAAAAAAAAAAAAAGAGGGACAAAGAGAACAAAAACAAAAATTTTTAGTGATTTTATAGCTTGTATAAAATCATTCATACAAGCTATAAGCGGTGGATAATGGCACAAATATAGCTGCCTTTCTGGTGATCTTGAGTTCTAAAAGAAAACAAATCCTTGCCTTAAAATGAAAGTTCTCTTGAGAGTTTATTCTATGCATTATTCTAATATGTACCATTCTTAATAACTATTAATATTACCATAAATGACTGGAATGAAGCTCTCATAATGGAATTTTAGGCATCAGTCAGTATAGGAGATGGAATTTTGGGGTCAAAAAAGCCATGCTGACAACTTTTTTTTTTTTTTGAGGCAGAGTCTTGCTGTGTCACCCAGGCTGGAGTGCAATGGCGCAATCTCAGCTCACTGCAACCTCCACCTCCTGGGTTCAAGCAATTGTCTTGCCTCAGCCTCACGAGTGGCTGGGATTACAGGCACCCACCACCAATCCTGGCTAATTTTTTTTTTTTTTAGTAGAGATGGGGATTCACCATGTTGGTTAGGCTGGTCTCGAACTCCTGACCTCAGGTGATCCACCCGCCTCGGCCTCCCAGAGTGCTGGGATTACAGGCGTGAGCCGCCACCCCCAGCTGACAACTCTTAAAATTATATCACATAGGTGCTCACGAATCTACTTGACACTGAAAGGACCATTTTTATTTTAGGTTCTCTACTAGCTGAATTTTAGCTCCCTAGATGAGTTAGCAAGATAGTAATTTATGGGATTCGTTTCTCTATATAGCAGAAGGCAAGATACTCTTGGATTGTTTTCCATAAGTGACAGCTGCACACTATTTACAATAGCAAAGACTTGGAACCAACCCAAACGCCCATCAATGATAGACTGGATAAAGAAAATGTGGCACATATACACCATGGAATACTATGCAGCCATAAAAAAGAATGAGATTCATGTCCTTTGCAGGGACATAGATGAAACTGGAAGCCATCATTCTCAGCAAACTAACACAGGAACAGAAAACCAAACACCACATGTTCTCACTTATAAGTGGGAGTTGAACAATGAGAACACATGGACACAGGGAGGGGAACATCACACGCCCGGGCCTGTCGGGGGGTGGGGAGCAAGGGTAGGGAGAGCACTGGGACAAATACCTAATGCATGTGGGGCTTAAAACCTAGATGAGGGGTTGATAGGTGCAGCAAACCACCATGGCACTTGTATACCTATGTAACAAACCTGCACATTCTGCACATGTATCCCAGAATTTAAAGTAAAATAAAAAAGAAGTGACAGCAGCAGCAGAAGGGCCAGCCTGCATGTCCAACCACACCAGCAGTTCTAGTACCTGTTTGGGTGGAGCTTTGGTGTAATGGAGTCAGAAGATACAAGTTTGTTTTAGCTCTGTCACTTTCTGTGTAATTTTACAGCAGTTTAACTTAGACTTTCCAAACCTTAGGCAACTTATCTATAAGGCAGAGATACAATATTTCTCCTATATAACTCTTGAGTGACTTGTAAGGATTGATGACTTCTGTTCAATCAGCATGTAGTGAGCTTTTCCTAGGCACTGAATAGGAAGCCCTGAAGGTATAAGATGGATAAGACACAGCTTCTACACTTGAAGAGCCTATGGACTAGTACAGGGTAGGAGTTGGTAAATGTGAAAATGCTTTGTGAATTGTAAAGTGCTAGTTGAACAGTAGTCACCATCAACAGGAGCAAGAACAACCGTTTAGTTGTTGAACAACGAGGTAAATGTCTTCTTTCTAGGAAGAACGTATCTGCACTGAGCCCATTGCCTACCACTGATTTTATCTACTGCTTACCCACTCTTTCTCTTAAACTTTGTATAGGTGTAAAATCACTTAGTTCAGTTCAAAATCACTACCATTGATTGCCACCCAGTCTCCTCTCTTTGATTGTGACCTCTTTCAGAGCAGGCAAAAGGTCTTCTTTGACACTCTGGGGGTATGTTTAATAGATACTAGTCAGGTGACACACTGATTTAACCTTGCTAACTTGTTAGGGGTCAGCAGATGTTTGCTTAAGCCAGAAAATCACCGCAATAATTATTAACAGTCTTTCAACAAATATGTATTGAGTTCCCACACTGTCAGATTCGACTGTAGATTCTAGAACACAACCTTTGCCCTGTAAGAAAGAGTGAGAGGCTGGTGATGGGGCAGCCTCTGAAAAGGTGACATTGGAGTTGAGACTGAATGACACAGTGGACAGAGGATCAGTGGTTCAAGATGAGGTGGAGAGATGGCAGATGACATTGGGCCCTTGGAAGGAATTTGGCTTGCACTCTAAGTGTAATGGAAAGCTATTGGAGGATTTTAATGACGGGAGTGCTATTATCTCCCTCTTAAAATAGATCACTCTAGCTCCTACATAGAAAATGGACCATGAGGGTGAGTTGGCAAGAATGTTAGCAAAAGTCCAGTTAGGAGATCATTGCAGTACTACAGGCAACAGATGTTAACATCTTGGATTAAGGTGGTGAAGATGGGAAGAAGCTGGTGGATTCTAAGTATATTTTGAAGTGATTTAGTCCACACCTCCTTACACCTAACCCTATTTGACAGCCTTGCTTCCTTTTCTTCAACACATAGGTTGGATGACTCCTACACCAGTAAGGGGATTAAGAATGGTCCAGGGAGAGACAGAGCCTCTCTAGCTTGGCTGCCTATTCATAATTGTCAGGTAGTTCTGCACAGATGCCACAGGAATGGGGACAGCCCGGATAAATCTAACTAAAGCAGGAAACATGGGGAAACAGAATATGCCCTGTCCTCTCCACAGTCAGGAGTTACTCTATAACTGTATTAATTGCGGAGTAGAGATTAGAGCCCCTTACTACAGAACTACAACCTGACCATAGAGGTTTTTAATTAATCCTTGTACACAAAGTTAAACAGCTTTCTTAGTTTGAAAAAATGCACGAACACACCAAAATTTATATGTAGTTTAAGGTCTTTCTGGGTCCTCTCTAGCCAGTCGCTGATTCCCAGTTGAGAACTAAGAGCATAAATCCCCTGGGAGATACTGGGAAATGACCTGATTTGTAGTAGATCCCATTCAGGAAAACCCAAGGTTTTCTTCTTTCACTGGACTTATTTATATTGATAATCTTTAATTAGCATGATGTTAACAGAAAGGGTTTTTGTTAGAAGGAAAGAGAGGTATATCAGGACAGTGAAGAAGTCTCACAAAGGTTCTAAAACATTCTAAATGTTATTTAGTAATCTCTCTCTCTCTAACAATTAATTAACATCCAAACCCTCTCAGCTGTGTATATGTATTTTAATGGATATTGTGTATGAATTTTATACATCTCTAAGGCAGCAGAAAATATTAAATCGTAGGCCTTTCGCCTGTAATACCTGATCCAAATCAATCCCAAATGCCTTATATTCTAGAATTTTAACTTTTTACAGGGAGAAAACTTCTTTCATAGCATTTTCAACAAAGAATAAAAAAGCTCATTTTCTCATGAGGTGGAAAGTACACCAAACAATGAATTAGGAAGTCTGAATTCTAATCATCCTTCTACCACTTTCTAGTCATGTAATCTTGAGCAAATCATACACTCATCAAATGTTTACTGAACACTTACCATGTAGCAGGTACTAGGCAAGGAACTGTAGATACAAAGATGAGCAAAAACAGATGCATAAATTTTTTGGAGCTTGTTGGTTTTTGAGAGTAATGGGGAAGACAGACATTAATCAATTAACCACCAAATTGTTTGATTACCAAGTAGCATAAATACAGTGAAGAAAATGGTTTAAGAACCTTACTGAACCCTGTTTTTAATATCTGTAAAATGGCAATATATGTATTTTTAAAAATTATTGAGATGATTAAATATATTTAAACCAATACAAAATATTAAACTTTTACTGTAGTTTTCTCACAGTTGTTTTCAACTAATTCTACATTACACTTGTAGAAACATGACTAGGTAATTCCTTACATAAAATTTTGTGAATCAAATGATAGTTAAAATCTGTTATTTTGGCCAATGTAGTTAGAGGTAACATATGTTAATTAAGGAAATAGCCATTGATTTCAGTTCAACAGCAGGAAATAAGTCCCCTGATAATAGGTGTTTGAGGATAGGATTGAGACAAACTCAAATTCTGGGAAATTCCTACTCAAACCTTGAACAGATGCCAGAGACATGAATGGGAAATTCAGTCTGTATCCAAATTCTTGTGCTGATGTTTGTTTTTCTTTCTTTCTTGGTTCTTTGGCAGCTCATTCTCTCCACTTGGGAAGGAGGCTACAACTTACAGTGTCAAGATCTTACCAGCGCAGGGGAAGCTGACATCCGGGTGAGCCACTAGAAGCAAATCAACCAACTATAACCAGTTCCCATTGACAAGGAGAGGAGGTTTTCTCCTTCCAGATAGAGGGCTGAGGCTAGAATTAGATAAGAAAGGGGTTCCTGTTCTAATAGAAATGCTTGGTAACAAAGATGATTTCCAACTATCCCTCTATAGAGGACCAACTGAATAAACCACAGCACATCCACGTAGCAGATGCCTCTACCAAGTGGAGTGAGGAAGAGCTCTATACCGCTACAGAATTGTCTCTGGGATATAGTTACATGAACAAAAGCAACTTGCAGACCGTGTTTATAGGATAGCACCCTTTGTGCAATAAATGATATGAATGTGTATGTGTATTTGCTTATATTTTTAAAAAGAAACGAGAGGATAAACTAAAAGCTAATAAAAAGTGTTTCTGCCGGGCATGGTGGCTCACGCCTGTAATCCCAGCACTTTGGGAGGCTGAGGTGGGTGGATCACGAGGTCAGGAGTTCGAGACCAGCCTGGCCAACATAGTGAAACCCCGTCTCTACTAAAAATACAAAAATTAGCCAGGCATGGTGGTGGGCACCTGTAGTCCCAGCTACTCAGGAGACTGAGCCAGGAGAATCGCTTGAACCCGGGAGGCGGAGGTTGTGGTGAGCCGAGATTGTGTCACTGCACTCCAGCCTGAGCAACACAGCAAGACTCCATCTAAAAAAAAAAAAAAGCATTTCCTTTGAGGGGAGGGAACAGGGCAGAGGGGATACAGGAGAAGCCAGAATTCTCTGAATGTACCTTGTGCTATATTTGATTTTGGAACCACTGAGTGCTTTACATAATTATAAAACAAAATTAAATTTAAAAAGAAAGCAAGGCAGCCGCCCCCTAAAAGTTGGAAACAAACTTAAATAAATGAATATACCTATATATTAAGTTGGTGACATAATCACCCAAGGAACTATTTCAAGTGACTTTAAAACAGTTTTTTGACTGAACGCCCCTAGTGAGATATATCTTAATAGTATTCAGTAATTTTTTTATTGTTAATAACATCGGTATTGCTTTTTTGACACTGTGATAGTACACTATGGGATAAATTAAGTGTATAATAATGTTAATATCTGTAGGCACTTCGATTTGAAACATGGAAAAAAAGAGATACCAATAAAAAAGTTAAACTAAAACTCATTAATGATAGATTCAAATTGGAAATATCAGAATTAACTTTATTTGTTTTTAAAAATTTTAATTTTCAGCTCTGTCTACAGAAAAGGCCTAGTCTATGACAACCCAGTACAACGAGCAGTGATTACCTAGATTGTGCTCTCTAAATAGAATTTTCTCCAGAAAAGATTAGGTTTCTTAGATAATGGGCCTCTTCCTGGTTTGGGGCAGGAAATGTTTATAAGATGAACCCAGGATATCTATGAGAAAGCGAAGCAGCTATCCAGGACTACAAGGATCATCACAAAAAGAGGATTTGCCTGGAAGGGACCCCACTGCCTAAAAATGGAGCAGGTTGAACATCAAAAAGAATACTGACTGGAATTAACTGAAACATTAAATATGTAAAAAACTGTGAGTTTAAAATGATACTGATTGTAAAAGCTCTTATTGTTACCTTTTGAAGGTTGTTAGAGCACCAATTCATTTTAGGAAAAAAAAATTAGAGGGAAAGAATTAAACATTTATCTTGCCTTTCATATGTGAATTTCCAAATCGATGAAAAGGGAAAGTTCTTCTCTAGAGAAAAGAAAAATGCTTAGGTAACAATTAGAAAAATCACCATTTTGCAACTCCTAGTGAAATAATGGATCGTATTAGTTTGTTTTGCATTGCTATAAAGGAATACCTGAGGCTGGGTAATTTATAGAGTTTCATTTTGGCTCATGGTACTGCAGGCTGTACAGAAAGCATGGTGCTGGTATCTACTTCTGATGAGGCCCTCAAGAAGCCTATAATCATGGTGGAAGGTGAAGGGGGAGCAGGCATGTCACATGGCAAGAGAGGGAGCAAGGCACAAGGAGGTCCCAGACTCTTTCAAACAATTAGATCTTACAGTAACTCACCACAGGAGGGGCACCAAGCCATTCATGAGGGATCTGCCACCGTGACCCAAACAAACACCTCCCACCAAGGCCCCACCTCCGACATTGGGGATGACATTTCAACATGAGATTTGGAGGGGACAAACATCTAAACTATATCATGGATCTGACAGCAATCACCTGTGGATGGTAAAACTATTCGGTGAAAATTGAATAGAAACTTCATAATGACGACTCAATACCTGAACTCACTGTTCAGTTTGAGTATCAGTGGAACAGCCGGAAATTACGTACCTCCTGATGTGAGGCAGTAGGAAGTAGACAGAACCCTCTGAAGTATTCGTACCAAAAACATTACACCTGAGTCTAATCAAGCCTGTAAATCTAATTGCCAGTAACAAAACGCATGTGTAGAGAAACAAATGATACTACGAAACAATCATACAAACCTATAATATTAGAAATTCTTCATAAAGGATCTAGTTTTTCTAAGAAATAAAAGACATGAAAGAATGGGAGGAGCAAAGAGAACTGTTATTGGTTAGAAGAGACTTAAAAACCATTTCAAACCAATGGAAGATGGACCTTCTTTGGATCGTGATTTAAACTAATTATAAAAAGACATTCTGGAGGCTAGGAAAACAACGACATTTTTGAGACCGAGAAATTTGAACATGGATTGGGCCATTAGAAGATACTAAAGAATTGTTAATGTTGATAGACAACAGAATGACTTCATGGTTATGTTAAAAAGTCTCCCTATCAGAAGGATTTATAAATAAAGTGATACCTGAGATTTGCTTATAATATTCTATACTTCCCACTCCCCTGCCCCCCAAAATGGTGGGAAGTGGAATTGATAAATACTAGATTGGAATCATATTGAAAATTCTGAATTTCGGCATTGGATGCTGAGTGTTCATTTGACTTATTCTCCTTGCATTAGTGAATGTTTGAAATTTTCTATAACTAAACATGACATATTATTAAGACAGATGGTAAAAACCATTTAACTAAAATCTTTTAATATCAAGATGGACCTTTTTTTTGAGACAGAGTTTCACTCTTGTTGCCCAGGCTGGAGTGCAGTGGTGCCATCTCGGCTCAGTGCAACCTCTGCCTCCTGGGTTCAAGCGATTCTTCTGCCTCAGCCTCCCGATTAGCTAGGATTACAGGCACCCGCCACCACACCTGGCTAATTTTTGTATTTTTAATAGAGACGGGGTTTCACCATGTTAACCAGGCTGGTCTTGAACTCCTGACCTCAGGTGATCCACCTGCCTCGGCCTCCCTACCTCAGGTGATGCACCTGCCTCAGCCTCCCAAAGTGCTGGGATTACAGGCGTGAGCCTCCACGCCCAGTCAAGATGGATTTTTTTTTTTTTCTTTTTTGAGGCAGAGTCTCACTCTCCCCCAGGCCGGAGTGCAGTGGCGTGATCTCGGTTCACTGCAAGCTCCGCCTCCTGGGTTCACACCATTCTCCTGCCTCAGCCTCCTGAGTAGCTGGGACTACAGGTGCCCACCACCACACCCAACTAATTTTTTTGTATTTTTAGTGGAGATGAGGTTTCACCTTGTTAGCCAGGATGGTCTTTAACTCCTGACCTCGTGATCCACCCACCTCGGCCTCCCAAAGTGGGACATTTTAAAAACGTCTTCAAAACTGCAATACAAATAAAGTAAGATATAGTGATTTCTCTGCACCCATTTTATTTCTAATGCATTACCACAAACCAGTGCATACCATACAGTTCTCTAAAGGTTGTTTTATATTTATTTGTAGTTTAATATTTCTAAAGGTTAATTATCTCATCAGACATTAAGACGGTTGCGGCCGTACCTTATGATGGTCTTCTTGGGAAGTAGACAGTAGAGCATGATATTTTAATTTCAAGATTCCTATTATGCAATGTCTTTAAAAATATCTTATGTTTAATGTTAGTGGTAAAAACACAGTGCCTTTAACTAAAGAAATGTCTCCCTATAGATGAGACTGACTTGAGGGCCTTAGGAGGGAAAGGATGTGTTATCATGACCTCCCACCATTAGCAAGGATGAATAACATCTTGATTTTTAATCTAGTCATCTGAGGAAAAGACACAAAAGATGTAGCCATAGACTGCCCTTGGACAGTCTAAGAGACAAAAAACATATATACTTTAGAAGAGCAGAGGAAAGTTATAATTTAATGTAACAAATAATAATGACCTCCTGTTGAGTTCTAGGCCCTGAGCAAATGTGAGTGACAGTTTCTGCCTTTGAGTGATTTGCAATCTATTGATAGATTCGTAACACTAGCTACACCCTATTATGTCTATTGATTATGGAGCCACAGTTAAAGTAATTTGAATACAAATGAAGCAGCAGTTCAGCCTGAAAAAGGAAAGGGCTGGGTGAAGTTCCAGAGAAAAGGTGGCATTTAAGAGGAATATTAAAGAATATGCCAGACCTGAAGTAGGAAAGGAGTGCTGGGAGCAGAGAGAAGAGTTTTCATGGCTGGAGGAGGAGTAAGCAGGCCACTGTTCCAGCACACAGGACACCGTGGTGGGGAGCTTGCAGGAGGCTGGTGGAAACAGCAGCCACCCAAGCCCATGGGAGATCCTGGGTTCAAGCCAGGAGTCATGAACTTGGGTTCTGCGGATGCAGAGGAGGAACGTGATCACACATGTGTTCTGGAAAAATAACTCATCTCTCACTAGAGGTGGGTGGATTGCTTGAAATAAGGAGAAACTGGAGACAAGGACACCAGGTGAGCTGCCTTTTCAGCAGTGAGAAAGAAACAGCAGGAAACCACAGGCAGCAGGCAGAAGGCCGAGCAGTGGGGCAGCACCAGGAACACTGCCATTTCTCACCCTTTTCTCCCCTTTACAAATTTCTATAGGTAGCCAAGGTGCTTTGGTGGTACTATTTCTCCAAATCAGTAGAGTTCCTGGACACAATTTTCTTCGTTTTGCGGAAAAAAACGAGTCAGATTACTTTTCTTCATGTATATCATCATGCTTCTATGTTTAACATCTGGTGGTGTGTCTTGAACTGGATACCTTGTGGACAAAGTAAGTTATTTTGTTAATTTTTCCGTTTTGAGGAATGGCTCTTAGAGACCACTGGTGCTGTCTTGTATTAAGCATCGCATGCAGATCAGGAGAGCATGAAGGGAGGCCTAGAGCGCCGGCCTTGCCGCAGCAGGATGCCCGTGTCTGCCAGGGGTCATGTATTCTAGTGTCTGGTCTTTGATACAGGCAAAATCTGGGCCGAACCTTAAATTTAAAACTGTTTTCTTTTCCACACATCATATGTCCCATGGTCAGAGGCACATACCCCAGCGGGAGCTGCTTCACTCCAATCCCGGGCGCTGTTTTGACTCCTGTGGAAATACATCACCTTCCACAGTCACCACTTCCCCGTGAAACAGATCGAGGCGAGGCATTTCAGCTTTTAGGGTTTCTTGTTTTCACATTCTGAAAAATTAAGGTTACATCTCTGAAGGACCTACCAGATTTTCCATTTTTTAAAAACAGAATTACAATAAGAAATACATTTTATATCACAACCCAGTGCACTCATTCATATTTGTTCTTTTTTTTTTTTTTTGAGATGGAATTTCACTCTTGTTGCCCAGGCTGGAGTGCAGTGGCGCGATCTCAGCTCACTGCAACCTCCACCTCCTGGGTTCAAGCAATTTTCCTGCCTCAACCTCCTGAGTAGCTGGGATTACAGGCGCCCACCACCACGCCCAGCTAATTTTTTGTATTTTTAGTAGAGACAGGGTTTCACTATGTTGGCCAGGCTGGTCTTGAACTTCTGATCTCAGGCAATCCACCCGCCTCAGCCTCCTAAAGTGGTGGGATTACAGGCGTGGGCCACCGCACCCGGCCCTTCTTCTTTTTTTATTTTTTTAAGACAGGGTCTCATTCTTCTGCCCAGGCTGGAATGCAGTGGTGTAGTCATAGCTCACCGCAGCCTTAACCTCCTGGGCTCAAGCCATCTTCCTAGTTAACTGACTACCCGCATATACCACCATGCCCAGCTATTTTTTTTTTTTTTTTTGGTAGGGCTGGGCATAGTGGCTCATGCCTGTAATCCTAGCACTTTAGGAGGCCAAGGCAGGCGAAATCGCTTGAGCTCAGGAGTTAAAGACCAGCCTGGGCAACATGGCAAAATCCCATCTCTACCAAAAAAAAAAAAAAAAAAAAAAAAAAAAATTAGCTGGGCGTGGTGACGTGCACTTGTAATACCACCAGCTCCTCGGGAGGCTGAGGTGGGAGGATGGCTTGAGCCCGGGAGGCAGAGGTTGCAGTGAGCTGAGATCACGCCACTGCACTCCAGCCTGGGAGACACAGCCAGATTCTGTCTCAAAAAACAAAACAAAACAAAAAAGTGTAGACATGAGATTAATTATATTCAACCAAAGCAATATACTCTTACATGATTTCTAGGCCCCATGACCCATGTCTAGAGACATTAATTCCAACCAGTTGTTTGCTTTTAAATGAGTGATTTCATTTTGGGAAACAGGTTTCAAATGAAAATATATACATGGGTAAAATTACTCTGTGCTAGTGTTGTAGTGTTGTCTTATTAATGTTTATGGTCCCACTTGTATATGAAAATGTGGTTATGTTAATTGGATAATGTATATATAAGAAGTTAAAGTATGTAAAGCATAACTTCAGCCACATTTTAGAACACTGTTTAACATTTTTGCAAAACCTCCTTGTAGGAAAAGAGAGCTCTCTACATGAAGATGACTTGCTTTATATTTCAGATTTTATTTTAAAAGCCGTGTCTGTTAAGAAAAAACACAAAAGAACCCAATTCCTGGTTCATAATTCTGTATTCTTACTCACTTTTTCAAGTTACCTATTTTGTTGCATAAACTAATTGTTAACTATTCATGGAACAGCAAACAAATGCCTGTTTAATAAAGAATTTTGACCAAGGCTATAAATGCCATTTACATTATTTTCAGTATTGTTGGTTATATTTAAATTTTCTTCATAATAAAGCACACTTTTATTTTTTAAAAAAGTGTAGACACAAGGTCTCTCTGTGTTGCCCAGACTGGTCTTGAACTCGTGGGCTCAAGCAATCCTCCCCCCTCAGCTTCCTAAAGTGCTAGGATTAGAGGTGTGAGCTACTATGCCTGGCCCTCATTCATATTTCTCTGTTTTGTATGATATTTTATGAAACAGTATTTACCCTGGCTCTATATGATGTACTGTATATATTTTTTAATCCTGTTTTTTTTTGTTTTTTTTTGTTTTGTTTTTTTTGAGATGGAGTCCCGCCCTGTCGCCAGGCTGGAGTGCAGTGGCACAATCCCGGCTCACTGCAACCTCTGCCTCCGGGTTCAAGTGATTCTCCTGCCTCAGCCTCCCGAGTAGCTGGGATTACAGGCGTGCGCCACTACGCCCAGCTAATTTTTGTACTTTTAATAGAGACGGGGTTTCATCATGTTGGCCAGGATGGTCTTGATCTCTTGACCTTGTGATCCGCCCGCCTCGGCCTCCCAAAGTGCTGGGATTACAGGCGTGAGCCACCACGCCCGGCCTAATCCTGTTTTACAAAGAGTTGATGACAATTCTCACTGCATTGACTTCACCATTCACTAATGGGTCAGTTATGACCTACAGTTTGAGATGCACTGAGCTATAGGGAACAGTACTCTCTATTTGATACTGTCTTGTTCTCAAGAATTTAGAAATACAATATGAAAAATCAGAACATGTAAAACTTCAGTCAAAATGACTTTGTTCCAGGATTTAGGATCTTGTAGAGATGATATTAGGGAAAAAAGTGCCCAGAGATATTTGGAGTATCAGTGACTGTGAAGGTACAAATGAACACTAGAGTGAGGGAGGAAATTGCTGTGAGTGCAGGGGGAAGAAAGAAAGAATTGATCTCTGTCCTTCTAGACGGGTAGACATCCATTTCTTGAGTTTAGTTATTAAGGAAGGACAACTATAATCAATATTAGAGGAGAATTACCAAGGTTAAGTATTTTTATGATTGTCAAGTTTCATTACAAATCACTAAGCATCTAAAACCCAAATCATCACTGTGTACAGACATAGTCCTGTAAATACTGTGACAATTTCTGCTTAAGAATATTAGAAAAATGATACTTTGACCTACCAGAGCAGACTTTCAATTTTTTGAAATGCCTTAATCTGTATCACAGTGAAATGGTGACTGTGGAAGGTGCTGTATTTCCACAGGAGTCAAACATAAGCAACAACTACTCATGGTTCATTAATTGATGGAAATGAAAAGTCATGTAGGTAAAGAAATACCACTAATACTATGCTGCTTGGTAGTCTGAAACTCTGTTTGTGTTTTCATATAAATTCAAGCGCCGTAACAGTTTATTTCAGCCAGTATTGGTTGAGAATTTACTCTATGCATGCTATTGTACCTTTTGTTTCTTATTTATTAATTTGCATTTAGCTATCCAGATCACTAATCTAGGATTAAAGAACCAGGCTAGGGAATTTAAATTGATTTATTAGCCAGCATATGTGCGGTGCTTTTAAATTCATATATTATCTCAGTTAATTTCATCCCAAACTTAAGAGCTAGTTATTATTATTATACCTATTTTCCAGGTAAGAAAATAAAAATTTACGTCAAATCAATGTCTCCAAGGGGACATAGCCAATAAATGGCCCTCTAATGCCACAATCCCTCCCACCACAGGATAGCTCGCAGAACAGCCATCTGGATCCCAGGCTGACAGCTGAAGAGCATTCACTTTGTGCCAAGCATTGTTCTAAGCACTTTCATGTACTGATGAAATCCTCACAACACTGAGTTTCCTTATTTCCAACAAGTGATGCATCTGTGGCATCTCACCTCTTGCAGCTAAATCCTTTCAATGCTTAGCTGACCCAGCATGGTACATGACCCTTTCTCCATGGTTTCCTGAAGCCTTATTCACCTATGGTGGAGGCAGTTACAGAGACGTTTCATGAGGTTGATGGCAGGGGCCTGGATTTTAGACATCCCTCATCCTAAAAGTCTCTGCAATGGCCAATCACTGGGAAGGTCTCGCTGGCCAGTTTCTCCGCCACTCCAGCCTTCTCTGTCTCCTTTATTCTTTCTCCAGCACCTCCCGGTCCCTAAGTGTCTTTCAGGCAGAATTTATTTACTTAATTATGAAAGCAATATATTTTGTCTCTCTAGCACCCTGTTCAGCCATGTACAAAAGGCTCTTTGTCAATATGTCTTATCAAAGGTTTAGCTAAAAAGCAAAGACAATTCTATTTCAGAGGAATTCTGCCAACAGCTTTAAGCTAGTATTTCTTTTCCTCCCTCAGTAGCTGATAGTAGTGACGGTTAAAGAGACAGTAAAACCTCGTAGATAAGGTGTTCCCCTGTGTGGCGGGGGGGGGGCATTCTGAAAAACCATCCCAGGCTACTCCTTCTATCATGGAGTTTTTGGTGAATCCTAGAACTGGCACAGTAATTGGGGAATTTATTAGTGTGGATTTTGTTATATGATCATGTCATATGTGCTACTCATTTTCAATTACCATGCAGAGAGAGAATCTCACTTGACAAAGAAGAATGAACAGTCCTTCCTGGAAGAATAGTGATTTTTATACTGTACTTTTATAGGTTTCTTTGGACCAACACTGAACAGTTTTATCCACATTCTTATGTACTCCTACTATGGACTTTCTGTGTTTCCATCTATGCACAAGTATCTTTGGTGGAAGAAATATCTCACACAGGCTCAGCTGGTATGTTGTCCCTTCTTTTAGCTTTTCTCCATGTGGCTTATGGATGGGGAAAGGAAATAGAAATCTTAGAAGTCAGAGGGCTTTTTATGTGTGATGAGGCTGCCCATTTTTTTTCCAAAATTGGCCTTTTAAGAATTAAACTTTTTGTGTTGAAATGCCCTTTGTGCATGCTATTAGCTTATAATGGAAAGTTCCTTGCTTTGAAATGTAGATGATTACTTTTCAAATTAATGTGTAAGTTAAATCCTTTTTGTCTAAATAATTTTAACTGCGACTTTTCCATGAGGAAATCATGGGCAATTTCACATACTAATTTCAAATAAGATTTCTGGATGAGGGGGCTGCTTCAGCAGCTTTGTTTTGTTCCTACATAATTCCAAGAGTCCTAGGAGTTGATTTCTGAATTGATCAAGCTTGGCCGCAGTGTCTGTGTGGCACAGCCTGGCTCGCTCACAGAGATGCCCTCTCTGCCGTCCCCAGGTGCAGTTCGTGCTCACCATCACGCACACCATGAGCGCCGTCGTGAAACCGTGTGGCTTCCCCTTCGGTTGTCTCATCTTCCAGTCATCTTATATGCTAACGTTAGTCATCCTCTTCTTAAATTTTTACGTTCAGGTACGTGGAATGTAAATATTCAGCAGTAAAATGTAATCGATTGGCACTATTTTTTTTTTTTTGGAGACAGAGTTTCGCTCTTATTGCCCAGGCTGGAGTGCAGTGGCATGATCTCAGCTCACTGCAACCTCCGCCTTCTGGGTTCAAGTGATTCTCCTGCCTCAGCCTCTCAAGTAGTTGGGATTAGAGGCCCGGCTAATTGTTGTATTTTTAGTACAGATGGGGTTTCGCCATGTTGGCCAGGCTGGTCTTGAACTCCTGACCTCAGGTGATCTGCCTGCCTTGGCTTCCCAAAGTGCTGGGATTATAGGCGTGAGCCACTATGCCCAGCCTAGATCATGCACTTTTACATTACATATTTGTTTAATTTTACTGATTAAATATTATAGTAGCACATGCTTGTTGATAAATTCAGGTAGCAGATACACAAAGTGAAATTTGCACTCCTAACTCCTCTCTCCACACCCTCCTCCTCAAAGGGTAACCACAGTTAATAATCTAGTGGGCATTTTTAAAAACATTTTTCAATGCATACACATAAGGTTTTATCAAAAATATCATTGGATTATATATACAGTTCTCAATTTGCAGTATGTATTTGTACCATGCTACCAAAGTCTGACATCTGAAAGTTAAAAACGTGTATAGTAAGACAGATCCAGGAAATGTGAATGGAGCAAAGCAAGGGCTTCTTCAATGTTTTTAATTTATTGAATTTCATGTTTAAAAATTGGTTCCTTATCAGCTACCCTGATGTTGCAGCCTCACTGTTTGTTTGGGAACCAGGATGGAAAGGCCGCACCGACGTCTTTATCCAGTGTCATTTTCTTTTTAGTTAACAACTTAAATGGAAGACAGCTTCAAAATGCAGTTTCAAAGCCACTCTGTTGTACAAGAACGGATGAAAGCTATAACAGAGAAGAGGCCTCAGGTGGATGTAGATTTTAAATTGCTCTCTTTTGTAGGCTGGGGAAATGGAAAGCTTAGTTTAAAAAACAAAGTACATTTATATTCAAAACTATACTTTTGAAATTGTATTCAACTGTATTTTTTTCAGACTAATAAGAAGTGCTTTACTTTTTAGTTTGCACTTGCTGAAAGTTAACCCATAGTGGTTTTTATTTTTATTTATTTTTTTGAAACAGAGTTTTGCTCTTATTGCCCAGGCTGGAGTGCAATGGCGCAGTCTCGGCTCAACACAACCTCTGCTTCCTGGGTTCAAGTGATTCTCCTGCCTCAGCCTCCCAAGTAGCTGGGATTACAGGCGTGTGCCACCACGCCTGGCTAATCTTGTATTTTTAGTAGAGATGGGGTTTCTCCATGTTGTTCAGGCTGGTCTTGAACTCCTGACCTCAGGTGATCCGCCCACCTTGGCCTCCCAGAGTGCTGGGATTACAGGTGTGAACCACCACACACATCCCCATAGTGGTTTTATACAGTGTGGAACAGTGGAAACTGAATTTTGACAGCTTTTCAGGTCTTGTATTTCTGAAATTGGACTAGGCTGTTTTAAGAGATAAAGGTTTCCTTTGAAGATTTCCAAAGAAATAATCAATGATGAGACCAAACAAAGCTATGTGTGGGTGTGCAAACCCCTGCCCCCAACTTCCCAATAAACGCTAAGTGTTAAAGGGAAGCTAAGGGAGTGATTTTGGTACCTCGTGTTGAAGAGAAGCGTATAGCCCAGCAAGAGTAGGTAATGGCATTCAAAGCCTTAGCCCTACATGCTGGTTCAAACTGCATCTTAGTTCTGAAGTCAAGCATATAATTTAAGTTTGGATCCTTGTTAATACTATTGCTTTAAAAAAAAAAAAAGTGAAAATGAGATGCGAGATCAGGTATTTTGTCAGAATAGGAAGGATATGCCAAAAACTAGATCAAGCCAGAATCCCAGGTATTGGTATTTTAAAATAACAGCACTTTTTCCACTTGAATTATTTTTAAAAGTTTTATCTTTCCAAGTGAGCAACTAATGCAGAATACTTTGCCAGCCCCACAATATACAAATCGTGACCTCTAATAGTCATTGAAATACATGCATTTGTTTTGGTCTTTATTTTTAATCTTTAACCAGAAGTTTAAAAATGATACTATAAACATGAAATCTAGGCAGAAATAAAGAAAGATGTTCTTTGAAACCAATAAGAACAAAGATACAACATACCAGAATCTTTGGGACACATTCAAAGCAGTGTGTAGAGGGAAATTTATAGTACTAAATGCCCACAAGAGAAAGCAGGAAAGATCCAAAATTGACACCCTAACATCACAATGAAAAGAACTAGAAGAGCAAGAGCAAACACATTCAAAAGCTAGCAGAAGGCAAGAAATAACTAAAATCAGAGCAGAACTGAAGGAAATAGAGACACAAAAAACCCTTCAAAAAATCAATGAATCCAGGAGCTGGTTTTTTGAAAGGATCAACAAAATTGATAGACTGCTAGCAAGACTAATAAAGAAGAAAAGAGAGAAGAATCAAATAGATGCAATAAAAAATGATAAAGGGATATCACCACCGATCCCACAGAAATACAAACTACCATCAGAGAATACTACAAACACCTCTATGCAAATAAACTGGAAAATCTAGAAGAAATGGATGAATTCCTCGACACATACACCCTCCCAAGACTAAACCAGGAAGAAGCTGAATCTCTGAATAGACCAGTAACAGGCTCTGAAATTGTGGAAATAATCAATAGCTTACCAACCAAAAAGAGTCCAGGACCAGATGGATTCACAGCCGAATTCTACCAGAGGTACAAGGAGGAACTGGTACCATTCCTTCTGAAACCATTCCAATCAACAGAAAAAGAGGGAATCCTCCCTAACTCATTTTATGAGGCCAGCATCATCATGATACCAAAGCCAGGCAGAGACACAACCAAAAAAGAGAATTTTAGACCAATATCCTTGATGAACATTGATGCAAAAATCCTCAATAAAATACTGGCAAACCGAATCCAGCAGCACATCAAAAAGCTTATCCACCATGACCAAGTGGGCTTCATCCCTGGGATGCAAGGCTGGTTCAATATATGCAAATCAATAAATGTAATCCAGCATATAAACAGAACCAAAGACAAAAACCACATGATTATCTCAATAGATGCAGAAAAGGCCTTTGACAAAATTCAACAACCCTTCATGCTAAAAACTCTCAGTAAATTAGGTATTGATGGGACGTATCTCAAAATAATAAGAGCTGTCTATGACAAACCCACAGCCAATATCATACTGAATGGGCAAAAACTGGAAGCATTCCCTTTGAAAACTGGCACAAGACAGGGATGCCCTCTCTCACCACTCTTATTCAACACAGTGTTGGAAGTTCTGGCCAGGGCAATTAGGCAGGAGAAGGAAATAAAGGGTATTCAATTAGGAAAAGAGGAAGTCAAACTGTCCCTGTTTGCAGGTGACATGATTGTATATCTAGAAAACCCCATGTCTCAGCCCAAAATCTCCTTAAGCTGATAAGCAACTTCAGCAAAGTCTCAGGATACAAAATCAATGTACAAAAAATCACAAGCATTCTTATACACCAATAACAGACAAACAGAGAGCCAAATCATGAGTGAACTCCCATTCACAATTGCTTCAAAGAGAATAAGATACCTAGGAATCCAACTTACAAGGGATGTGAAGGACCTCTTCAAGGAGAACTACAAAACACTGCTCAATGAAATAAAAAAGGATACAAACAAATGGAAGAACATTCCATGCTCATGGGTAGGAAGAATCAATATCGTGAAAATGGCCATACTGCCCAAGGTAATTTATAGATTCAATGCCATCCCCATCAAGCTACCAATGACTTTCTTCACAGAATTGGAAAAAACTACTTTAAAGTTCATATGGCACCAAAAAAGAGCCTGCATCGCCAAGTCAATCCTAAGCCAAAAGAACAAAGTTGGAGGCATCACGCTACCTGACTTCAAACTATACTACAAGGCTACAGTAACCAAAACAGCATGGTACTGTTACCAAAACAGAGATATAGATCAATGGAACAGAACAGAGCCCTCAGAAATAATGCTGCGTATCTACAACTATCTGATCTTTGACAAACCTGAGAAAAACAAGCAATGGGGAAAGGATTCCCTATTTAATAAATGGTGCTGGGAAAACTGGCTAGCCATATGTAGAAAGCTGAAACTGGATCCTTCCTTACACCTTATACAAAAATTACTTCAAGATGGATTAAAGACTTAAACGTTAGACCTAAAACCATAAAAACCTAGGCATTACCATTCAGGACATAGGCATGGGCAAGGACTTCATGTCCAAAACACCAAAAGCAATGGCAACAAAAGCCAAAATTGACAAATGGGATCTAATTAAACTAAAGAACTTCTGCACAGCAAAAGAAACGACCATCAGAGTGAACAGGCAACCTACAGAATGGGAGAAAATTTTCACAACCTACTCATCTGACAAAGGGCTAATATCCAGAATCTACAATGAACTCAAACAAATTTACAAGAAAAAAACAACCCCATCAAAAAGTGGGCGAAAGACATGAACAGACACTTCTCAAAAGAAGACATTTATGCAGCCAAAAAAACACATGAAAAAATGCTCACCATCACTGGCCATCAGAGAAATACAAATCCAAACCACAATGAGATAACATCTCACACCAGTTAGAATGGCAGTCATTAAAAAGTCAGGAAACAACAGGTGCTGGAGAGGATGTGGAGAAATAGGAACACTTTTACACTGTTGGTGTTTACACTGTAAACTAGTTCAACCCTTGTGGAAGTCAGTGTGGCGATTCCTCAGGGATCTAGAACTAGAAATACCATTTGACCCAGCCATCCCATCACTGGGTATATACCCAAAGGACTATAAATCATGCTGCTATAAAGACACATGCACACGTATGTTTACTGCAGCACTATTCACAATAGCAAAGACTTGGAACCAACCCAAATGTCCAACAATGATAGACTGGATTAAGAAAATATGGCACATATACACCATGGAATACTATGCAGCCATAAAAAATGATGAGTTCATGTCCTTTGTAGGGACATGGATGAAATTGGAAATCATCATTCTCAGTAAACTATCGCAAGAACAAAAAACCAAACACCGCATGTTCTCACTCATAGGTGGGAATTGAACAATGAGAACACATGGACACAGGAAGGGGAACATCACATTCTGGGGACTGTTGTGGGGTGGGGGGAGGGGGGAGGGATAGCTTTAGGAGATATACCTAATGCTAAATGACGAGTTAATGGGTGCAGCACACCAGCATGGCACATGTATACATATGTAACTAACCTGCACATTGTGCACATGTTCCCTAAAACTTAAAGTATAATAATAATAAAAAATATAATATATAAACATGAAATCTTATTAGAAAATCCAGTGCCCAACTGGGCACAGTGGCTCACGCCTGTAATCTTAGTACTTTGGGAGGCCGAGGCGGGTGGATCATCTGAGGTCAGGAGTTCAAGACAAGCCTGGGCAACATGGTGAAACCCCATCTCTACTAAAAATACATAAATTAGCCGGGCATGGTGGTGTGCACCTGTAGTCCCAGCTACTTGGGAGGCTGAGGCAGGAGAATCACTTGAACCCGGGAGGCGGAGGTCGCAGTGAACGGGGATCGTGCCATTGCACTCCAGCCTGGGTGACAGATTGAAACTCTGCCTCAAAAAGACAAAAACAGAAAATCCTGCGCCCAACAAAATCACATACTGTTTTAACTATATGCACTGTTAAAGACAAGGTCTTATTAAATAACCTTTTTATTTTTCTCTTCAAAATATACACATCCAACAGACATACCGAAAAAAGCCAATGAAGAAAGATATGCAAGAGCCACCTGCAGGGAAAGAAGTGAAGAATGGTTTTTCCAAAGCCTACTTCACTGCAGCAAATGGAGTGATGAACAAGAAAGCACAATAAAAATGAGTAACAGAAAAAGCACATATACTAGCCTAACAGATTGGCTTGTTTTAAAGCAAAGACTGAATTGAAGGTTACATGTTTTAGGATAAACTAATTTCTTTTGAGTTCATAAATCATTTGTACCCAGAATGTATTAATATATTGCTATTAGGTTAATCTGTTAACTGAATGCTTTGATCAGCATTGAGGTGATGCTCACCTCCGAGGACCTCAGAACTGGTGCAGCTTCTCTCTCCCTCCCTCCCACAGACTGAACCTTTCGCCAGAAGCTGTCCTTATAACGCCTTATACGCATACACAGCCAGGAAACGTGGAGCATTGTTTCTCACAGAGAGTCTCCAAATAAAAAGGGTTTTGTTCAGATTAAAATGTTTACAACAAAATGTTAATTATATTCTAAATACAGGGTATGTTCTAATCTATATTAAGCAATAATGCCAGTGCATAATCATTCCATTTGTTCCTTTAGCAATCAACCCCAGAAAATATTAAAATGGGATCATACACAGAAGATAGAAAAATCTAGCAAAACTTCTCTTTCTGTAAGCCAGAGTCTTGTCTATCAGATTCCCACAACCACTCCTGATTCTAAATTTAGTGATATGGTAATGAAATTGGTATTTATTTTAAATATTAGTTATTCTAAGGAGAAAAAAATGCTTCTGCAAGATTTTCATAATTCAGGGGCTGTGGATAGGATTGTTCCTCTGTTTCCCTAATCATTCATCTGTTCATGTCTCCCTCTTGTGCCAGTCAGCCTAGGTTATACAGATGCCATGCTCCACACCACGAGCAGTGTACAAATCTGGCTGCCCGTTTACTTTCTGAGCAAGCACTGGAGTCCACTCCGACCTTTTTCTTTGAACATGCATGCTGCTGGAATATGTATAAATCAGAACTAGCAGAAGTAGCAGAGTGATGGGAGCAAAATAGGCACTGAATTCGTCAACTCTTTTTTGTGAGCCTACTTGTGAATATTACCTCAGATACCTGTTGTCACTCTTCACAGGTTATTTAAGTTTTTGAAGCTGGGAGGAAAAAGATGGAGTAGCTTGGAAAGATTCCAGCACTGAGCCGTGGGCCGGTCATGAGCCACGATAAAAAATGCCAGTTTGGCAAACTCAGCACTCCTGTTCCCTGCTCAGGTATATGCGATCTCTACCGAGAAGCAAGCACAAAAGTAGACAAAAGTATTAATGAGTATTTCCTTTCTCCATAAGTGCAGGACTGTTACTCACTACTAAACTCTACCAAGAATGGAAACAAAGAATATTTTCTGAAGATTTTTTTGAAGATTAATTTATACCCTATAAAATAAAACTTGTTAGCTTCGATGAAGTCACTTCATCTTCTCTCCTGCCTTATTTTTTTAAATAAGTTTTTAGGTCCTGACACTGACATCAAATACATGCACACCAGAAAGGCATTTCCACCACCGTCCCCACTCATTAGCGTCCAGAGTGCCTTTCTCTCTCGGCTTTTTTTCCCCCCTGAGCTCTAGTTTTAAACTTTCTCCTGTTAAAAAAATTGTACTTTTATTTCATGTAAACTGCCCCTCTGAGGATTTGGGCATATTTTTTGGAAGGTGCCTAATGCTTAGGATAGTCTCTAGGGTGATGCACTGCACCTGCTTCCTTCCCTTCAGTGCGGCCGACCCATTTCTGTTGAACAGATGTCTCCTGTGTGATGCCCCTGACTCTTACATTTATCTTTCTAAATCATTTTCTGAAGCTGACTTGCTCTAGGGTGCTTCATCACCACTTCCATCTTGCATCACCTTATAACTGTTCTGTCTTGTTCTCTCCCAGCAATTTATTTTAAAACAAGGGCTAGCTTCAAGCATGACTGTTAATGGCTCCTCTGTGACAAAACACAAGTTGGACCAAGGAGAAAGCCCTTTGGAGAAACTGGACCCTAGTTCAGTTTAGATCTCAAATATAGGCTGAAATCTCTTACCAAAGTGCGTTCCAGATAAAAATGAGACTTAGAAGACAGACTGGTCTAATATGCTCACTGGTCATCACATTCAGCTTATTCTTACGTGCCAGTGAGGCCCTAAGGTCTCAGTGCATAGCATACCTGCCACTCTGGATGTTTTCCTGGGCTTCATATCTGTATGGCAAGGAGGGAGCTGTCCTTCAGCAGACAAAGTCAAGCAGCTTTAAGTACAAGGCAGCTTGAAACCTCTCTGATGAAAGTGAAAAATGTGGGTAGCTTATACTTTCAAACTAATGCCAGTGACTAGAGAGAGGTTTCATTCATGATGTGTATTTCCAATTTGGTCTTCAATTCAAGAGATGCTTCATAAAACACTTATAGCCTTAAACCATTCAAGGGCTAATTAAAAAAATAGTTATGAAATCTTAGCCACAAAAAATAAATCAGGTAAACATTTTAACCTGTCGTTAAGTGTTGTAACTTCAAAAAACCAAAATGCTTATTTTAATGTGATTTTTCTAAAACTATTGAAAAATTAATATTTCTATAATCTATTAAAAAAAATGGAGAATGTTTTCTCTCAAATTTCCTCTGACCCATGGGAATGAAAATACTTAAATACTGTAAAGCATATCTATTAATAATTCCCCCAATTTTTTAAACTAACAAAATGGAATGTTAACTGAATGGAATTAAACATAGCAATTGTCAAGCCATCAAAATTATATATCGAACCACTTAGGCATGTTACGGGGTAAAGTCCTCACCCCTGCATTTGAGAAATATTTTATTATTTTTATTTTAAGGCAAAACAGTGTTTACTGTGATGGGCAGAACAGCCTTTTGTATCTAGGAGTCCATTTGAGTTCTTTCCAATATTTCCATATCGTTCATAAATGTGTCTGGGGGCTTCCTTGTTTGGAAAATATGGATATCGCTTTGTTTTCCTTTGAAAGTAATTATATCTTAAGAACATAGTATCATGAATGGAGTAGACAGGGAGGCTGCAGAAGCCATTTCTCTTTGTAGATAAAAAGCATTATCTATGATTGTTGTATAATAAATTGATTTTTACATTAAATGCATGTTGCGAGTTTTATTTGGTTCAAAGCAGTTAAAATGTATGCCTGCATGGAATTCCAAATGACCTATCACTTGGGAGTTATTTTTACAATAAGGCATTATTTTAGCCATGAATTTTAGACATTTAATTCTTCTCTTGTTTCAGTGAGCAATGGATTATATCATTACCTTTACATTGTATTCATATACCAAGTTAAGCTGTTTCAAAAATGGCCATTCACTAGAAAAACGTAAGATTAGCAGAGGATATAAAGACGATAATTAATAAATTGCTATATAAAGCCACCTAGGGAGGAGCACTAGATTTGTTTGAGGAGAAATTTTTAGGCAGGAACGACATCGTGCAATGCCCTGAAACCCAGGATACAATTCACAGAGCACCTGCATGGGGAGAGAGGTGGTCAGCTCAGCTCGGGAGGAGATGTAGGTGAGTGAGGCCTGACTGTGAGGATGCCTGGGAGAGTTGAGGCGAGGGGCAGGACCACAGGTTGGCGTTTTGTCAGTGTAGAGAGTCGAGTTTTGAATGTGATATTAAGTATAATGAGACACAGATCCTAAAGAAAACTACAAAAGATGTGCTCAAAGTCTGATTAAAAAATTGCTTAAATTCCTGGATAGTGACAGGTGGGACAGGATAGATTTTAAGGAAGGGCAGGAGGAGAAGAGGGAATAGGAGAAGACCTTATTTTAGCTATCTGAATGGGGGCTAGAGTTTGGGGTGGGAGGTTAACGTTTTAGAGGAGCCTTCCCTTTGTTATTTTAAATGGTGGGTGGAACTTAATAAAACTTTGTGTTTAAAAATAAAAGATAAATCCTATGTCTCTATGGCAAGCCTAATAACTGTTGTCACAAACTTAAAGAGCTGCTTATTCAACAAGCGTTCACATCAATAAGCCTCTTAATTCCTTTATGCAAAGAAAAAATTCAGCATGTGTTTTTGTTACAGCAGGCTCTCTTCCAAGAAAAATTACATTCCCATATTTAAGGAAGAGTTTCTCTCCAGAGTATGCAAGGAAATAATCACTCCTAGGAGACTAACTACAGTCACCTCAGGATTCCCTGACCTTCAGTAAAACATGACTTTCAGTCATAGGGGGAAAAAGACTGAAAGCTATTGATTTGTAGGTCATTTTTCCATCTTCAATTGCACTGCAGAACACTGGAATAACACTGAGAGGACAAGGAAATCTGTAATCCGTACCCTCATTGAGCAATTGGTAAATGCGGTCATTGTGGATCTAACGAGCAACCCACCGGGAGCCTGTTCTGAAAGTGTCTGTGACCACATTTGGTAGGCTGAGGAAGGCGAAGCTTGTCACACATCCCTTGATGTTGCATGTGCCATGGTCTATAGCTACCTGGATGACTTGAGATGGGCATTTTCTCTTGTAGTTGCCACAATCACCATCACTCATCCTTTTTCTTTTTCTTTTTTTTGAGACAAGAGTCTCACTTTGTTGCCCAGGCTGGAATGCAATGGTGTGATCTCAGCTCACTGCAACCTCTGCCTCAGCCTCCCAAGTAGCTGGGATTACAGGCATGTGCCACCACTCCCGGCTAATTTTTTTTTTTTTTTTTCAATAAAGACAGGGTTTTGCCATGTTGGCCAGGCTGGTCTCGAACTCCTGACCTCAGGTGATCTGCCCACCTCAGCCTCCCAAAGTGCTAGGATTACAGGTGTGAGCCACGGCACCCGGCCCATTCATCCTTTTTATTCAGCCTATTAACCTGGCTGGCCCCTGAAGGCATTTGAATTTGTGATGCCTATACATTGAACAACAAAAGGAGAAAGTCTATATAGAGTTTCGCCTGGGCCCATATGATATACTTACAGGGAGATGAACACAGACTTACCGGCAGTGGCCCTAGAAACAAATGATAGATGTTGCAGATTTCTCTGAGACTGAAGCACTGTACGTAAGACAGCTCATGTAGAACCAGCTCCTATTCTTTTCAAGCTAGTTTAGACCTATGGAGTTTGATAAACTCTGGAAATAGTTATATTCAGTCTAAAAATTCATCAAATCTTGTCCAGCACTACGTATCGTGTTAGGGATATAGAATGATCTAGATGAAATATCTGTCCTCAGAGTTCATAGTCTAATAAAGTAGATAAACATTTAGCTATAAAATAAGTATTGAGGCCGGGCACAGTGGCGCACGCCTGTAATCCCAGCACTGTGGGAGACCAAGATGGGCAGATCACCTGAGGTCAGGAGTTCGAGACCAGCCTGGCCAACATGGTGAATTCTCGTCTCTACCAAAACTACAAAAATTAGCCAGGCGTGGTGGCCATGCCTGTAATCCCAGTTACTTGGCAGGCTGAGGCAGGAGAATCACTTGAACCTGGGAGGCAGAGGTTGCAGTGAGCCGAGATCACGCCACTGCACTCTAGCCTGGGCAACAGAGTAAGACTCCCTCTCAAAAAAAAAAAAAAAAAAAAAAAAAAAATATATATATATATATATATATATATATTGCCAGAGAAACATTCCTAAAGGAAGTAATGCCTGAGGTTAGTTTTGACGGGTGAAGAGTTCAAATAGACTTCAAAGAAAGTGGTGTCCCAGAAGCCAAGGAAAAAGAGAATATTTAAACAGAGAAAAACGCTGCAAGGCAGCAAGGTGAGCAACTAGTGAAGGCGTGGGGGGGGAAGGCACTGAATTTGGCCCTTGGGAGGCAGTTGGCAGATTACAGGGGGCTTTAGAATGAATGGGAAGTCGAAGAAAAACAATGATGAAGCAAGCCATATGAAAATCCTTCTGAAGAACTAGGGATGTGAAGGAACAGTTACAGTAGTTGCTGAAAGGGAGGAAGAGCTAAGGGGTGTATGTGTTGAATACTTTCAGGAGCATCTGAGTGACTGCAGCTGAGATGGAGGAGGAGGAAGCAGTAAGAAAGAAGCCGGCCCCTTGCTCAGCTCATGGGGCTGGGGCAGGGGATGCTTCAGGTGCCTTTGTCACCACAGGGAAAAATGCCCACAACAACATGCTGGCGAGACTGCAGAGAAAAGGGAATGCGTATACCCTGTTGGTGGGAATGTAAATGAGTTCAGCCCCTGTGGAGAGCAGTTTGGAGATTTCTCAAAGAACGAAAACCTGAATTACCATTCAACCCAGCAATCCCACTACTGGGTATCATCTACCCAAAGGAAAATAAATTGTTCTACCAAAAAGATACCTGCATTTGTATGTTTATCCAGCACTATCCACAATAGCAAAGACACAGAATCAACCCAGGTGCCCATCAACAGTGGATTGGATAAAGAAAATGTGGTATATATACACCATGGAATACTACACAGCCATAAAAAAGAATGAAATCATATCCTTTGCAGTGACATGGAAGCAGCTGGAGGCCATTATCCTAAGCAAATTAATGCAGGGGCAGAAAACCAAATACCGCATGTTCTCACTTATATGTGGGAGCTAAACCTTGAGTGCACATGGACATAAAAGGGGAACAATTGACACTGGGGACTCCAAAAGGCAGGGGTGGGGGAATTGAAAACCTTCCTATTGGGTACTATGCTCACTATCTGGGTGACAGGGTCAACAGAAGCCTAAACCTCAGCATCACACAATATACCCTTTAACAAACCTACACATACACCCCCGAATCTAAAATTTAAAAAGTTCTTAAAACCATAGAGTTCAATAAAAACTTAATACGATACAGGAAAGAAGACCCTTCCCTATAGTCATCTATGGCCTCTAGCAAATCCCCCTGAAAGCAGTCTACTAGAGCCCTGAACCCTGCAAAAAAACTGGCCTCGGTCTCTGTCACAGGAAGAAGGTTGGGGAAGGAGTCAAGAGGGGAGGTTGGTTCACGCAGGCCTGGTTGGCTGAGGTTCCAAGTGCAAAAGCCAGGAGTTCATCTGCTGCCTGAGGGCAAAGCAAATCCTCAGGGGAGCTGCTCGGAGGATGGAAGGTCAGAGCACAGAGGAACACCTAAAATGACAAATGAGGCTGAGGCCACAGATGGCAACAGAGTCTGCTGGGGTAGCTACAGGGCTGTTCCCGGCTACGAGTGAGTCAAAAAGGAAGGGAGCCTGAGTGTAGGGCTGGGAATGGGCCCAAAGGCTGGCTCAGTCCCCAAGGTCAGGGTGAGGAAGCTGACGCTGCTCTTCTTCCCCGAGGGCTGGATGTCAGCATCTCCAGGATGCCTCCTGGTCCAGCCTTCTCTCCGTGTTGCCTGGAAAAGCACATCGATTCCTGCATCCTGCCACCCCGCCCTGCCTTTTCAGGCCAGGGGAGCTCACACACCACCTGGCACAGCACTCCCCAGGCTGTTTTCCTGTTTCTCTGTCTAAGTGTTGGACTGATGTCTGTCTCCCCATTAGACTGCCACTCCTTGCAGGCAGGGGCAAAATCACATTGAATCCTTGGCACCCAGCACAGCACATGGCACACAGGAAGTGCTATAAGGATTCGCTGAAGAAGACAATGTGCAGTAGAGCCTCTCTAGTATTTCCAAAGAGATGTCCCCAATATCTCAAGCTCATGGTTTTTGCAACTTCCATCAACCCATCCTCAAAATTAGCTCTTTAAATCTTACACCTACCATAGCCTCTCATCTCTGTCCCCTCTTTTTCATTCCCAGTCCTATTTTAGTTGAGGCGTTTATTGTAACAGTAACCTCCCACAGTGTACTGAATGCAGCCTTCATATTGCTACCAGATTAATCTTCCAAAACCACTGTGCTCCTGATGTCTTCAGTGGCTTCTTCTCACCTACAGAATAAAGTCCTTCTAATCAAGCTGGTAAAGACACTTTAGTTTGGGCCTAGCTAAATTTAATTCCCACTAATACTCCATAGTATTATGGCCTCAAACAAATTCTGCATTTTTCTTCTCTGTTCTTATATTCATGAAAGCATCTCTTTCCTAATCCTAGAAAAAAACTCCTTCATCCTTCAAGATCTATTTCAAGTGATACCTCTCCTCCAGGAAGCCATCCTGCCACCCCAACAAAAATGACTTCTACCTCCTCATAATCCCGATGGTGATCACTTTACACTTCATTTTGGCACTTGTCACATAGAGCCTTGATTTACAGTGACCTGGGTGTCTTACTGTCCTCTCTAGACTAAGTTCTTTGCAGCTAAGATAGCGTCGTATCCATCCTAACATCTGCCACATCAGCTTACTCAAGGGTTTGTAGAGAACAGTGCTCAAATATATGCTCACTAGGTGCTGGAAGTCATATAAATTCTTCAGACGTACTTCAATGAAGACAGTCCATGTAATGGCACTGAAATCCATACACTCTCAGGTCATGAGAAACTGTGAGCCCTGAACTGGATATACCTAAACGAAATGAAGTTAGTTAACCTCATTCATGTTTTTTGGACTTAAAAAATAAGTGCTCTTGGCTGGGTGTGGTGGCTCATGCCTGCAATCCAGCACTTTGGGAGGCCAAGGCAGGCGGATCACCTGAGGTCAGGAGTTTGAGACCAGCCTGGCCAAGATGGTGAAGCCCCATCTCTACTAAAAATACAAAAAATTAGCCAGTTGTGGTGGTGTGTGCCTGTAATCCTAGCTACTCGGGAGGCTGAGGCAGGCGAATCACTTGAACCTGGGAGGGGGAGGTTGCAGTGAGCCGAGATCGGGCCATTGCACTTCAGACTAGACAACATGAGCGAGACTCCGTCTCAAAAAAGAAAAATTATATAGAAGATGGCAAAATAGGAATTATAAACGTTTTAGACAAATTAAACTATAAATTAATAACCTACATAATGTAACTAAGTTTTATTATATAGTGAATAAAGTATTCAGTCTGCAGTCTTTCACTTCACTTATCCAGTCATGAACAAAGGTACTTTGTAGATGGCCTTAAATGATGTAGGCTCCATTTTTCCAAAATAAATTCAAATGCTTACCTGTATGTGCAATTTCATCCACTCAAACTTCACTAGAGCATCTAGTAATTAATAACAACATGATGAATATTTCTGCCCTGCTAAAGGTGACACTTTTGTTGAAGTGCTGGAGAAATGAGAATATTTGCAGATCAAATGAGACCTCCTAATAAGTTTATTTTCAAAACATATCACAGGCTGGGCACGGTGGCTCATGTCAGTAATCCCAGCACTTCAGCAGGCCAAGGTGCGTGGATCACGAGGCCCAGAGTTCAAGATCGGCCTGGCCAAGATGGTGAAACCCTGTCTCTACTAAAAATATAAAAATTAGCTAGCCGTGGTGGCACACGCCTATAATCCCAGCTACTTGGGAGGCTGAGGCAGAGAATCGCTTGAACTTGGGAGGCGGACATTGCAGTGAGCTGAGATCGTGCCACTGCACTCCAGCCTGGGTGACACAGTGAGACTCTGTCTCAAAAAAATTAATTAATCAATTAAAACAAATGTAAAGCCACCATTTTTACCTGAGCTACCTTCATCATCTTCAACTCAAATTTCTCCTTCCAAGAGACACATCCAATTGTATTTATACAGATGCTGCTAAAGTGTTTTATTCACACAAAACTTGAAGACATTTCTCAAACAAAAAAAAGTCCATTTTACTTTTATAAAAAAAAAGCAACACCACTCCAAGTTGTTTAACATCCTGAACTTTCTATTAATACTATCTGACCAAATTTTAATACAAAAGGTTAATTTTTATGAACAAATGGATAATAACCCAACTGCAAACTACCAACATATATTCTATCTGAACTCAGCAGTTCCCAGGGATGATGTTTGGAGGGGAGGAAATTGAATGCGTACAGAGCACGAAGTCTGGCTAACAAGGCCTGAGCCAACAATAACCTTGCTCTTTCTCTTCGTCTTCAGGCAGCCCAGGCTGGCAGAAAAGGAAAAGGAGAGCAGTAATTAGTCAAGGCCGAACTGTCCTCCTCTTAGTCCCTAAGAACCCTGTGAGCCAATAGGAGCATCATTCCTTTTTATCCGCTACATCTCACTAACTCAGGTATTCAGTGAAGCATCTTACATGGTTGTCAAAAGCTCATGTCAGTGTCCTCGGCAGAAACTGCCTGGTTATCCTCAGAAATCTCTTCAACACATGCCACTCTGAAGATGTACCTGCCATCTCTCGATAGTTTAACCTAACAGGTGATTTTGTTGGATGTTGGAGATAAGACAGCTCTTTCTCTGTTATAGCACCAGATGAAGTGGGTGGCCTGGCTTTAGGGGCCACACTAGGAAAACTACATGTTGTTAATAGCCAGATTGGCAATCAGACCTATTATTATTATTATTATTTTGAGATGGAGTCTCACTCTGTCGCAAGGCTGGAGTGCAGTGGCACAATCTTGGCTTACTGCAACCTCTGCTTCCTGGTTCAAGTGATTCTCCTGCCTCAGTTTCCTGAGTAGCTGGAATTACAGGCGTGCAACATCATGCCCAGCTAATTTTCGTATTTTTAGTAGAGACGGGGTTTCGCCACATTGGCCAGGCTGGTCTCAAACTCCTCACCTCAGGTGATCCGCCCACCTCGGCTTCCTAAAGTGCTGGGATTACAGGCGTGAGCCACCATGCCCCACCTATCAGCCCAATTAGATGCTCATAAATAAGAGGTTGGTAGGAGCTGATATCAACTGAGGGAACAGATTCTCCCATCCCACCCAAACTCCAGGGCACATGCCTACTGAGAAGAATGGCAGAATCACCTGAGCGATATAAGTTATTTCTCCATTTTTTTCTGTGTGCAGCATGTGTAATTTAATTCAGGCATGACAGACATGACTAGTTACCTATCTAACACCTATTCTCCCCTGTTTCCTTATTAACAGAAGCCCCCACTTTTGGGGAGTGCTGTGACACACTCAGTCAAATTTTCACCTCTCCGGATTCCCTTGCAACTAGGGTGAGCCATGTGACCTAGTTCTGGCCACTATGATGCAGACAAAATCTATCAGCTTGGGCTTCCAGGAAAACTGTTTCCCTGATTTTAAAAAGTGGGGAGGAAGCTGGGCATGGTGGCAGACGCCTATAATCTCAGCATTTTGGGAGGCTGAGACAGGAGGATAAGTTGAGCCCAGGAGTTCAAGACCAGCCTGGGCAACACAGCAAGGCCTCATCTCAAAATAGACTAAATAAATAAAAAGCGAAAGAGGGGAGGATGTTGGCATACATCTTTTACCTTTTAGTTTTACTCAACTCCTTCTTCCTGCCTGGGGTGTAGAAAAGATACCTAGAGGTACAACAGCCATGCTGTGATTATAAAATTCCCAAGTCACAAAAAGAACGGTAAAGCAAAAAGCTCAAAGAACCCAGGTCCCTAATGACTACTTAAAGCTGCTGTACCACCAGCCCTGGACTACGCTGCTGCTCTTCACAGGGAAAAAAGTAAAAGCCCTATTTGGTTTAGCCGCCAGAGTCCAATTTCTGTTACTTGTGACCAAATGTAACATGCACATTTAGTTCACATTTAATCCAATTCTCTATTGGAGCTGGGAATTATTCCAATATTCTTAGCCCAGATTAGTCTTTTTTTAATATCCTCTTTTAGTCTTATTTTGATTTGGAGATTTGTTGTTATTGCTATTTCCTCAAAAGAAAACAGTATTTTTTTCCTCAATAATGTAATTCAAGGTATGTGTACAAAGATATTCACTACAAATTTTTGAATAATAATTAAAAATAACCTGGATGTCCATTATAGGGAAAAATATATAAGTTATAGCATGTTTATAAACTATTTTGCAGTTATTAAAAAATAAGATCTTGTATTGCTAAGAGGCGAGTCCTATTTTTATTGCTGAGTGAACTAATAATATATATTTAGTATATCAATTAATCAATTAATACATATTTATAGGCTGGGCGCAGTGGCTTATGCCTGTAATCCCAGCACTTTGGGAGGCCAAAGTGGGTGGATCACCTGAAGTGAGTAGTTCAAGACCAGCCTGGCCAACATGGCGACACACTCTGTCTACTAAAAATATAAAAAATTAGCCGGGTGTGGTGGGAGGCACCTGTAATCCCAGCCTCTTAGGCAGGAGAATCGCTTGAACCTCAGAGGAGGAGGTGCAATGAGCTAAGATCGTGCCACTGCACTCCAGCCTCGGCAACAAGAGCGAAACTCCTTCTCAAAAAAACAAAAACAAAAACATATATAAGTATACATGTGTAAATATTTGTATATATTCTTGTGTAAGCATCACAATAATCTTTGGAAGAATATACTCCCAACTATCAAGAGGTGGTTGTCTCTGGATCATGGATAAGAGGAAAGGCTGGAGAGAGCAAAAAATTTAACTCTTTATAAACTTTTATGTTGTTTGTTTCACAAAGTAACTCCTATCTTTCTTTCTTTCTTTTTTTTTTTTTTTTTTGAGACAGAGTCTCACTGTCTTGCCCAGGCTGGAATGCAGTGGCACGATCTCGGCTCACTGCAACCTCTGCCTCCCAGGTTCAAGCGATTCTCCTGCCTCAGCTTCCCAAGTAGCTTGGACTACAGCCTCGTGCCACCACACCCGGCTAATTTTTTGTATTTTTAGTAGAGATGGGGTTTCACCATGTTAGCCAGGATGGTCTCGATCTCCTGACCTCATGATCTGCCTGCCTCGGCCTCCCAAAGTGCTGGGATTACAGGTGTGAGCCCGACCCCCTATCTTTCAGTAAGTTGTAAAAGCACAGAATGGCCTAAGATAGAAATTAAATTTACTTTAAATATCACCACACAGAAATAAACCCAGCTGACATTTCTAGAACATCCATTTAGAATCTAGACCTCTTACTTCACAGGCAAGTACATAAATACATGCAAACTCTGATCCTCGGTAACCGCCTTCCCCCAGCCCAGTTATCTCCACACTTGATCTTAGCCAAAAGGCCTGGGGGTGATGGCCCGATTATCTCATTAGTCACTCCTTCTCATCCTCTTGCTGGCTTCATCTCCCCTACCTGACTTCAACACACTGGAGTAGCCCAAGAATGTTGTCCTGGGCTTCCTCTCTATACTGAGTCCCTAGGTCAACTTATCCAGTCTATGTCCAGCCCCCAGCCATGAGCTTCAGTCTCAGATATCCAGTTACCTACATGACAATGCCATTCAGATGCTGAAATCACATATGGAATGCATGTCCTGAATCTCACCTTTCATATCCATCCTCATCCTTCCCCGGCCAATCAACTGGACCTTTCCCAATCTCCTCCACCTCCTTAAGTGACAGTGGTTTGCACCCAGCTGCTTAAGCCCCAAACCTAGAAGCTGCCCTTGATCCTGCCTTTTCCCACCTGTCACATCCAAGCCATCAGCAATCCTTCCAGATCCTTCTCTACTGCCCATATCATCCAATTCCCCACCCTGAAACATACATGCCTTCGAAAATAGTCCTTTGACTACTACCCATTCATTGCAATTGGAATAAAATCCAAACTCCTTACCACGGCCTGTAAGGTCCTGGGTCACCCCCACCATCCACACCCACACCCTTCCTGACTTCATCTTATGTACTCTACCCTTGCTCCTTCTATTGGGGCCTTCCCTAAATTCTTAGAATATACTAAGTATATTAATATACTTAATCTCAGAGCATCTGCCTGGGCCATTCCCTCTGAAATGGGCTTCCTCAGTCTTCCCTGCTGCTGGCTCCATCTCGACCTTCAGACTTCAGCTCAAATGTCATATCCTTAGAGAGGTTTCACTTGGTTTCCTCCTTCCACGCTGTGAGTCTCTCTCTTATCCACAGTGTTTTCCTTCTTAGCACTGGCATGAATCCTCATCTGTTTCCTTTATTACCACACTCAATCCTATAGAATGTACACCATGAGGTCAGGGATCCTGTGGGTATCATTCTACCCCAGCATCTAAGACAGTCCCTGGCACCTAAAAGACTTAGCTGTTTACTGAGTAATGAGCAGGCACATACTCATATAACATTTCATACAGGTGGGATCATGTTATATATGCTACTTTGCGACTTTTCACTTACTGTTAAACATCTTCTCAAGTCAATTAATATCATGTAAATCTTTCTTTGTAGTGGCTACATGGCATATCATATGACTGTATTTAGCTGGGCATCTAGGCACTTTCCATTATCTCCCTATTATGATCAAGTTTGTAATATATATTATTGCACGTATCTTTGCACATGTCCAATTTCATCTTTAAGATAATTTCCGGCCAGGCGCGGTGGCTCACACCTGTAATCCCAGCACTTTGGGAGGCCGAGGCGGGCAGATCACGAGGTCAGGAGATCGAGACCATCCTGGCTAAAACGGTGAAACCCCGTCTCTACTAAAAATACAAAAAAAAAATTAGCTGGGCGTGGTGGCGGGCGCCTGTAGTCCCAGCTACTCGGGAGGCTGAGGCTGGAGAATGGCGTGAACTCAGGAGGCGGAGCTTGCAGTGAGCCAAGATCATGCCACTGCACTCCAGCCTGGGCGACACAGCTAGACTCCATCTCAAAAAAAAAAAAAAAAAAAAGATAATTTCCTAGAAGGGGAATTATCAGGTCAAAAATAACAAAGCACAGTCTTGGACATGAAAGCAGTTTTTAAAAAAATCACCTACTCAGTTTACTCTCAAGTTAAAATTAAACTAAATACATGTTTTGCAAAAATAACTACTATACTCTTCAAGGTAAATAGAATTACATCCTTATAAAAATATACTTGGAGATGGTCTGCTTACAAAATCTACTTTAGACCTCTAAATTGAAGAAAATCCCCAAGTGGATATCTGTATAAAAAGC